>NC_000008.11:136620455-136922533 GCF_000001405.40 Homo sapiens
GTGCATTAATAAAAAACAAGGCAGTCTTAACATAGTACATTAGATATCTTAACACACTCAAGTATGCTTATTGTAAAGTAGGTATTTTGTTGTAATTGGCATGACTCCCTAAAATCTGGTGCCTTTATCTGGTGTCTCTAGGGAGTTAACTGGCTACTAAATTGATTCTTCAGATATCTGTTCAGGTGTGCCAGTAATGAGGTCATTATAGTAAAATGGTTAATGCCAGTGATAATTAATTTTTTTTTGCTTGAATTATCTCCTAAGAATACCAGAGAAAGCAAAGAAATTTAGAGTAAAAGCTCTCTGCCTTATATTGAAAGTCACAAATGTAATTTTGTGGTCTTACCTCAATGAATGCCTGTTGCAGAAAGTTATCCAAGTAGCTGTTAGCTAAGAAAAAAACAAAATGTCATTCTGTTATGATTAGTGGATTTATTCAATAGCCTTTATAAAAAGATGCAATTGTCACTATTCTACCACACACAAAGGTATTGCAACTCTGAGATTACTCCTCCCACCAACACTTTATGGGATTATTTCATTCTCTTATGGTAGTTATCATTTCCACTGTAATTTAGCACCAAATTGATGCAACTTCTCTCACTAAGCTGTAGGGTTGGAAGAACACAATCATGCCTCTACAACTTCTTGAGAAGGAGTACTGCTGGGATGGGTCGTCTGCAGAAAAAGATGCTGACAGGCATTAAGGTGGCAGATTCTAGAAGGAGGATTGTGAGTAAATACATTTAAGATCAGCTGACTCTTTCCTTCATTCGCCATCCAACCACAAGCAGTACAGAAAATGCAGCCCTACATGTGTCCAGGAGGGAGGAAGAAAACTTTTAAAACAGTGTTTTTTTCTTTTATAGATATATCTTCATCACCATTGATGTTCCTCAAAATTCAACCCTTGGGTCCTTTTTCTTGTCTGTCCGTGCATACTAAAAAGAAAAATTAAAAAACAACAATAAAATGGCAATAATAACGTTAGTGCTAATAACCCAAAACCTTATCATCACTATCATAAGAGTAACAGTAATCGTTAATATTTATTGTTAAATAATAGTTATTCTAACAACCATTTCGGAAAGCAGAACTATCATCTCTTCAGCTTGGAATCTCCAATGTCTAGCACAGTAACTGGAAAAAAAATGCATGGTAAAATATTTGTTAAAATTTAACTCTAACCATTTCTTTCTCAGGATGAATAGTTATTGAAATAAACTGTTCATGGTAGCAAACACCTGGTTCCGACTTCTTTGCAATCATGCATCTTTAAAAATCCCCTTTCTTTTGGACAGGGAGTAATGACCACTCCTTTCTCAAAGCCTAATTTATACCATACATGTATTAAAAATTAATTTCATAAAGGAGAGAAAATGATTAAGCTCCAATAAATGTCCAGCACACCTAGGAAAATGTGAATTATTGAAAATAGAGTCTGCATTGAATCTTAAAAACCTGGAACAACTAACTGCTTGTTACTATAGTTTGTTTTATTGAATTGATGTGATTAAACAGGAGAGTGGCTTAATACAAAGGCTTTTCCATTAAAAAAAAAAGTACACCCTCCACCTCTCCCTACCACACACAAAACCTTGTCAGAAGCACACAATTTACCACCTTGATTCGCTGAGTTGGAACTGCCCTGGTGCCATAAAGAACTCTGCAGGGTAAACTGTGAGTAGTCTAGACTGGGCAGTGTTCTCCCATTGAATTGAAAAGGTATGCTTATTAGAGTACACTAAATTTATATATATATATATATATATAACATAGTTTATATATTTTTATTATATATGTGTGTGTGTGTGTGTATGTATGTATGTGTATATATATATATATATATATATATATCACTGAAAGAAGAGAAGGAGAGAAAAGAGAGAGAGAGAGAACCAGCAGAGAAGTGTTTGGAGCAACTTTGAGAGTACTATGTAAAACATTAACTCAAAGGATAACAACGTAACTTACACAAAGCTTATGAAGCTTCATAGTTCCACACCATTCTCACGAATGCATTAAATGCCTAGTTTAAGCTGCCGTCATAAACTCTCCCTTGCATCCACAGAAAGCTAGTTGTTCCTTTTCCATGGGACGCAAAACACTGAATTAGTCCAGTTGTGGCACTGTTCCCACATGCTCATTGTGGCTGGAAGAAAAAGACAATCTTGCTGTTATGGATTGAATGCTGTATCCATCCCCCCATATTTGTATGTTGAAGTCCTACTCCCCGGTTTGATGGTATTAGGAGGTGGTGTCTTTGGAAGGTAGTTAGGTCATGAGGGTGAAGCCCTCATCAATGTCATTAGTGTTCTTAATAGAAGAGAGAGGAGAGTTTGCTTTCTCTCTTTAGGCCACATAAGGATACAAGGAGAAGATAGCCTTCTGCAAATCATAGCTGGCCCTCATCAGACACTGAACCTGCTAATGACTTAATCTTGGACTTCGCAGCCTCCAGTACTGTGAAAAATAAATTGCTATTTAAGCCACCCAATCTGTGGCATTCTGTTACAGCAGCCTGAACTGACACATACATCCTGAATCGTATCCCTTTCAATTTCAGTCTGCATGTTTCACATAGGTCCTGTGCACTATCCTGGGATCTTATATTCACCCAGGCCATTTTCTACTTAAGTCAGTCACTTCTGGGATTTGTCCTTCCTTTCCAGATACTCTATTGAGAAGCATGCTTTGTTTATAATAACATTTTTTGAAGAAATGAAAATTATAAAACTCTTCTCAAAACTTAACGAATATATCTGATTCTTGACCCACATAAACCAATGTATAAACAAGGTGAAATATGTCCAACAATAGAAACAATAAAACAAATATAAAAATGACCTTTTTTGTTCCAGCCACTGCTACATTTTCCTGCTGTCTGTTAGCATAAAACTTAGAGTTGTCCATTCAATTTGGTGTCACTCTTTACATTTCTTCCTCTTTAAACTCACTCAAGCCAGGTGCCAGCAGACATCACCCTAGGAAACTCATTTTTGTTAAGCTGGGCGATGAACTCCATGTTGCTGAATCTGTGGTCAGTTCACAGAGCTCCTCTTACTAGGACTTTGGCATCGTTTCACATTCTTGAAATATAGGCTCTGATTTCTGCATGCCACAGTGCCTTGTTTTCCACTATGCATCGCTGACTTCTTCAGCCTCCTCTGAAGACTCCCTGTCTTCCTAACTTTTAAACATTGGAGTGGCATTGCTCTCAGTCCCCAGATGCCCCTGTCTATCCTGCCACTCCAGAGTTCTCATCCAGTCTCTCAGCTTCAATATTACCAAAAGAGAGACCACTGACAAAACACCATATTTATTCCTCAGCCTCTATCATCAATTTTAGATTCCCATAGTTATGTCTAGACATATATCTGTATGGGTGTTTGGTAAGTGTATTTTTTTAAATCATGATATTTTTAACAGCTTTATTGAGGATGAAGTGGTATCAAATGAACTCTAGACACTTAAAGTGTACAGTTTGATAAACCTGCAAAAAATCACCATAGTAAGGATAATAAACATCGTTCTCCCCAAAACTTTCATCATATACCTTTATAATTCCTTATCTTTGATTCCTGCATGCAAATTCTCCTTCCTTTCCCTCTATCCCTGGGCAAGAACTGATCTGGTTTTTGTCATTATAGATTAGCTTGCATTTTCTAAAATGTTACGTGCACAGAATTATATGTATATTATTTTTAAAACCTGACTTCTTTTACTCAGCATGGTTATTTTAATATTCATCCAAGTTTTAGCATATATACATAGTTCACTTATTTTTATTGCTGAATGGCATTTCGTTGTATGACCATACCAAAGTTTGTTTATCCATTCACCTGCTGGTGGGCATTAGGTTTGTTTCCAGTTTGGAGCTACTACAAACAGAAATACTATAAATATTCTATACACATTTTTACATGAACATATGCTATTATTTATCTTGGGTTCAAACCTAAGAGTGGAATATCTGGACCATATGGTAGATACATGTTTAGCTTTTTTGAAAACTTTCAAACAGTTTCTTGAGTGGTTTTGCCATTTTACATTCCCATCAGCAGTTTTTATGAGTTCCTGTTTTTCCATATCCTCACCAACACTTCATGTTGAATGTCTTTTCAGATTATTTGGTGTTCATGTATCTTCTTTGTGAAATGCTTCTGTAAATCATTTTGTCAATTTTTTGTTTATTTTTTTCTTTTGACATAGTTATAAATTAACATACAGCTATAAGAAATAATATAGGGAAACTCCATGTATTCTTTATATAATTTTTTCTAATGGTAACACCTTGCAAAACTATAGTGAAATTTTAAAACCAAGATACTGACATTGATTGATACAATCCACTGATCTGATTTCAATGTTCTCAGTTGCACTTGTGCTTCTAGGTATATGAGTGTGTATGTAAGAGTGTGTGTGTTGAACCATATGCAATCTTATCATATGTGCCTATTTTTTTCTCATTATTGAGTTTTGAGAGCTCTTTATATATCATGAATATGATTTCTTTAGCAGATATATGCTTTATAAATACTTTCTTCCACTCTGTGTCATGTCTTCCTGTTCTCTAAATACTATGTTTAGGAGATGAGCACTTTTTTGATATCAACTAGGTACAATTTATAAATTTACTATTTTGTGGATCATGCTTTTGGTGAAATATCTAAAAATCTTGCTATATGGGGTGTTTAGAAATATGTATGTTTGCCAGAGTTCTATAACACTACTCTACTACTATAAGGAACTATTTATAGTACTACCACTATACTATTCTATTATCCATAAAGCAATTATGTAGTTGCATTTCTCCATATCTTAAACTCCCCTAAGCTGTTTGAGGGCAATTACCATTATACCTTATTTAATTTTATAGCCTTAGTGTCACATGTTTGGAATAAAGTAACTATTTAAAACTATTTATGAAAGAAAAGAAAATATAATAAGAAATAAATAAGGGAGATGGGAGAGAGAGAGAAAGAGAGGATATAAGAATGACATTTTCATGTAATTAGTACTCATAATTGAAAGCAACATTTTATGTTTTATATCAGTTACCTCCTGTTCACTACAATGACTATTGCTATCCTTAAAACATATATATGATACTTTAAGAACTTGAATTGTGGAGGATCAACAACTCAGGAAGTTGAGGCCTGAGTGATCCAAGATCATGCCACTGAACTCCAGCCAGGAAAATGAGAGTGAGACACTTTCTCAAAATAATAATAATAATCATCATCATAATAATCATAATAATAATGATAATAATAATAACTTGCATTCTTGCATTGTGTTAGCATAGAAATTCAAACCCTGCTTGGCTGAATCATGAGTAATTGTTCCATCCTGCACTGATAGATTTCTTAGCCATTTCTAGATGTTTTAATTTTAAAAGAAACATTATAATCAAGTAGAACAGATGAGTCAGGATCAAAATAAACTACACATAAATCTCAGTCATGCACCATGTAAACCAAATTGTGAGATTCGTGAGTCTCAGGTTTCTCCCACCTCCCAGTTGAAGCCCCTAGGGAAGACATTCCTAATCATTCTGTTTCTAAAAATAAGACCACATATTGACTTCAAATCTGTCTGTTGTCACTTTAAGCTTTATTTGTTGACCCAAATTATCCCTCTTTTCCGTGGCAATGCTTCAGAGGCTATAAAGCTAATCACAGAGCATGTTTTAGTAAGTTTGATAAATAAAGGTTATCCAATGCCTAGTGGTCTTGTTCTCCTGACAAACCAATGTTTTCATTCAGGTAAGCACTTCTCCTACGTGTGAGCAACACCATTTTGGGAAGGGGAGCTTGATTGCCTAAAGGCAAACAGTATTTTCTTCAATGTGGAAAGTTACTGGCTCAGTGAGGAAGATTAGTACAGCATTAAATAAAAGTTGTCCACAGTTAATCTGCTGTGTGGGACAGAGCTGGAGCTCCTTCACACTCTAAATGTATTCCTTGGTCGTGGTCTAGCATTTTAATATCTCTATGCCAAACGTTTTTATTTATAAAATGGGAATAATTATAGTTACTGCTTTACATATTTTTTGAGAAGAATTAAGTCTTGTTAAGTACTCGAACAGTGCCTGAAACATAGTAAGTACTAATTAAAATGTAGCCTTAATTATTGTTGTTATTAGGAACTGATCTTTGAACTACCTGTCCAGTTCAGAGTAAATATAAGAACTCTTGCTTTTAACACCATAACAAAAGCATACTCTCTTTTGCTGACTCTGAACAGTCTCATTTGATGCTGGTAATTTATTGATAAGAGAGAAACCAGCCTTGAGATAAAAAAAAGAAAGGAAGAGACAAGGTTTTTGATTGTATTCATTGAGATGCTGAATTGTATGGCTTGAAGTCTACACACCACTTTAGACACAGTGGCATGATCTAATAAATGCTCATGATTGCAGAAACTGATACTTTCACCATTTAAATAATAGCAAGCAAATGCTTAGCTAAGACTTTGAGATTTTGATCCCAATTTTTCTAAGAATGCATTGAGTATTAATTTTATTATACCCTAACTAGATCCATAATTATGGTTACAAAGAGCAGAGAAAGGTTTTCATGCTATTTAAAAGCAACAGATCCTAAGAGAGTGTCATTCAGTGTCCAGAGAGGAGCGCATTTTCTGAAGATGAAGATGAAAGGCAGAAATTTCAAGAGGTTGAGCGTAATGTAGTTTACAACAAGGGCACTTTGTGGACCCAGAAGTGTGTCATTATGTGTACATGTTTAAAGGACCATTATAGGTGATTTTCTATCATGTTAAGCTCTTAAATCTAGTGACTCTGTCTCTCTCTTTCTCTGTCTCGCTCTCTCTCTGTGTGTGTGTGTGTGTGTTTCTAACAGTACTTGGCAGATTTGTTGATGTTTTCCGAAATTCATGTGTTTTGATTTGCTTTTCTTCTTAGGTTAGGAATTTGGGGCATATTTATTCAGCAATCACTATGAACTATGCTTTAATAAACCCCAGCTGAGATTTTATTAACCATGTTAATGTTAATAAATATGAAACAGGAAATGGATACGAAATATAGATATACATCCCAAAAGAAATTGAGGTTTGTAGCACACCCACAGCTCCTTAGACCTTTACTGTCTTTTACATGGGAATTTCTTGTTAGCCGAAAACATGTGTCGGAAAATAGCTATGTCTAAATTTCAACAATGGATACTTTGAAGTTAGCTTCTTATATGATAATATAAGAAAATTCAAATGTTCTTCATGCTAATATAATAATTATCACAGACAGTATTTATTAACTCTCCTCTGTGCCAGGTCTACTGTGATAGGCATTGCACACTTGTGATCTCATTTAATTCTCATCGTAGTATTCGCAAGCAGTGAGAATAGAATTATTTTCTATTTCACTTGCATTTAATAGAAGAGAAAACTGAGATTCAAAGAGGTTAAATAAGTTGTGCAAAGTCACAAAGCACAAAGAAAGTGTGTAAATTTAAAATTTTTGACCTCTTCCTTTTAAGAGCTTGGGTCTCTGTCTTCTGTCCTTGGATCTGATTGGGCTTTCTGTATGTTTTGAATAAGAAAATACGAAGGAGGCGATGCTGCCTGTATCAGTACCTAGGTAATTCAGAGACCAGTAGTTTCAATTTCCTGTCTCTTAGAAAGTTGCCTTTTGGAAAACACCCCTAGATGCCTGGCCCTAGAGGAAGCCAACACTAGTCTAACAGTCTTGGAAGAAAGTGAAACCATAACAGGTGGTTCTGAAAGATGAAACATCTGGGGGAAGGAATGAGAGGGGAAGGACACCAAGACACTAGGTCCATGAGACAAGATGCTATCTTGGAAGAGGATACCCTAGCCCCAGATGTTCACTCATCTTATGTGAATCAAGGGTAATCCACCTAATTGACATATTTTTGAACATCTGAACTACAATGTCAGAAGGGCAATTAAAGTTTATTTTAAGCATTAAGTTTTGAGGTATTAAAAATGACATAGCATTAGACAACTGGAACACAATTTTGTCCCTAGAATCAGGATGCTACCTTAACAAAACGTTTTTAAAAATTGGCATTGGTTTTCGGTCTGGTCAATGTACTGGAACTAGAGTAGGTTTGAAGACATTGAGAGCTTGAGGGGCAGCAAGCAAAATGCCATTAGAGAAAGGAGAAAGGAGAAAAGATGAAGTGTATTTTGCAGTGGTGGTAAGCTCAGTGAAATTGCTGCTTGTAATAATAATAATAATAAAAAGGAAAAGTAGAAAAGGAACTGGTATATTTGGCTAATGATATTTTTAGGCAAAATGTTGAAAGTGTTAAATGATTTAGACGTGTATGAAAATGTGTACCTAGTGACAGATGAGTTGAAAAAAAACCTATTTGATATTTTAGTAGTAGTATGGGAAATACAAATAATATAGGACTGGCCTAGTTTGAAAAATGGAGCTATTTCTCATGCACATTTCTACAATTAGCAAATGATTCTCAAAGTAGGTCACAGCCCCAAAGAAAGAAAACAAATGCAGAGTATTGCCACTGATTTGACCTGTGGCTTCACAGTAAAATTCAAATCAAAGATGTTCTGTAAGATCTTGATGAGACCTGGGAAAAGTTTAGAGTTACTTCATAGATGCTCTTAATTAAACAAACTAGCCCATAAAGATGGTATAGTCATGACCTGTAAACTCATTCAAACTGTAGAAACTCTAAGAATGCTAAGTATGATCTCATAGTAGCTTTACAATGGTTCCAGGTCTTGGAATATAAATATGGGTGTGGTTAATAAAGAGGAGTATTGATAATATAAGATTGCCATAAAAGTGTTAAAGGAATTATACCAGCTTACATTGACAGAAAGATAAATACCCAAAATGTGTGTATACATACATACGTGTGTGTATATATATTTACACACACACACATACATAGTTTTAAATATATTAAAAACATATGATGTACTGTTATATAAACACACATATATATGTATATATGCCTTTGGATTTCTAATTATGGGCAAGAAGCTGGCTAAGATAACTGCAAGTAAAAGATAAATCTTATAAAAAGAAAGGATGATTTGGAGGGTGCAATCCAGAACCCAGAAGTTATAGGCAGTAGTTGCAGGATATTATTTCCTAATCAAGCAGTAGAATAACATGACAATGTGGTTTCAGAATTGGTATGGCTCATTGACCATTTCATGACTTCTTTACTCCTTTATTTGAGGAGAACTGTGTATTACAGTTTCCCTATACCTCTCTCCTCACTGAATACTGTATGTGTTGGGTGGGGTGGGGAGAAATAATGTCTCTTTAATCCACAGGTTTTAAGTTTAAGAAAAACTACACTCAAGCAGATTCCTCCAACATAAATTCAATGTATATGGCAACGCTGACTTCCATTTTGAGCATGAAAAAGTAAGGGGATGAGACTTTTAAGTGTCTTGGGAGCCAATTATATATTTTCTGTGATATAGCAAGGCAACTATTCTGCGACCAGACGGTGTATGGTGGCAGAATAAAGACAGTCACTATATTAGTTTGCTAGGGCTGCTATGAAAAGGTACTACCAACTGGGTTGTTAAAACTACATAAATATATTATCTCACAATCCTGGAGGCTAGAAGTACAAGACAAAGGTGTAAGTAGGACTGGTTCCTTCTGAAGGCCTGGGGGAGAATCTCTTCCATACCTCTCTCCTAGCCTCTGGTGGTTTAATGGCAGTCTTTCATATGCCTTAGTTTTTTTCCTAACTTCTGTCTTTATCTTCATATAGCATACTGAGTGGAAGGATATTTGTGCCTATCATGTGACACAGCAGAAAATCTTCCAGACAAAAGATTAGAACGCTTAATTAAATAAAACGCAAAGAGCACAAAGAAAGTGTATGAAAGCGATTTGGAAGTCATCTATCAAAAGGACACAGCTCAAGATATCCCAGGGATGGTGTTTAGATGGTATTCCATATTAAATCATATTTTTATCTTTAGACTGATGAGCACTGCTGCCTAATTGGAATTTCCTGTTCAGTGTGTGTTAGGAGACAATTGTATAATAATATTTTGCTCCTCTTTCTACATGGGAAATGCCTGAACTGCATGGGTTAGATAGAATTTACACTTCATTCTTCATATTCAGTTAGAGCTCAGTCCTGCTTGGGCCCAGTGAGGAGCCAAATACTGTACACCTCACAATTGTATGCCCTCTGGACAACAGAAGGAAACATATATGTACCAGATTCCACATAATCCTGTTCCCATTGATCCAAGGGTTGCCCCACAAGGCATTAATAAATGTGCACTTTCAGATTCTGTTGCAATTTTGCATTTATAGGACATGGAAGAACTAACAACTAAAACCTTCCTTGATTAGTCATCTGAGTTTTAGTTTTACTTCTTTCTGTGACATACGGCACTGAGATTCAGTTGCCTCTAACAACATGAGAGACTAGAAAATGACCGTGTGTAGTTGTTGTGTTAGAGTCAGTAGAATCATTACTACATCATCTGGTGAAAATCCAGTTGATTCTGTTGGACAGAGCCTCAAGCTGAGGGTACACAAAGTACAAATTCCCAAAGTGGGTTACTAGAGCAATGATCAATTCATCTCTCACATCTCAGTTCCCAGACCCTTTAATCCTAACCTTTGGGACAGAGGACTATATATATTGCCTGTTGATTCTGTCCATATACGTGAGGGCTATACTCCAAGACCTCCGGTGGATGCCTGAAACTGAGCATAGTATGAAGCCATTTGATGCCAATCAGAACACGTTTCTGCTCATGTCTTCTACTCACAGACTTTTCTTTCTAACTAAGCACTTATCACACTAGCTGTAACTTTTGCGGTTTGATGTGTGACAGCAAAACTAGCACAATTTTTTTTTCCTCTTCACAATTTTACTGATAGAAGATGTGTTCTTACCTTAGATCTTAGCACTCTCAGCATACAATACTTTTTCTTTCCTTATTAACTAGAAAACTTTCACCTTTTCACTGAGAGAAATCATTTTTATGGCCTCTCTTCAGCATTTCCTAATTGCCAACATCACTATTCTTCCATTTCAGGGACATTATTAAGTAAAATAAGGATTATTTTTACACGGGCACTGCAATACTGTGACAGTTGATCTGATAACCTAGAGGGCTACTAAGTGACTTACAGTTGACCACATAGGCTGTACAAAGGGATGATTCATGTCAGGGCAGGTCAAAGCAGGACCATATGAAATTTCATCACACTACTCAGAACAGCCTGCGATTTAAAACTTATCAATTTCATGCTGTTTTAGAATATTCCGTTTAATATTTTCAGACCATGGTTGACAGCAGGTAACTGAAACCATGGAAAGCAAAATGGTAGATAAGGGAGGACAACTTTACTGAATCCTGGAGGAAAGCACTCCAACCCACAGGGTGTTGTCTCTGAGCCAGTACCTTAGCTGATCCTTCCACTGACCATTGCAACATCTATCGTGTAGCTGCTCTAGGTGATGTGGTTTATGGTAGCACAAATGAATCCTGGATCGTGTGTTTACTGTGACACATGGTACTAAGATTCAGTTGCCCCCAACCATTGCAAAAACTGCTCTGTCATGGAAAGGGTCTCTCATTCTGAAGAGATGTTGTGTGGGATCCCATTTCAGCAAATCAATCATTCTTGTCTGGAGCCTCTGAGGAAAATTTTTATTTCCAAACTTATTTTACATGTTGGAAAAATGTATATCCTTGAAGTTAGAGGACTGATGTTCCCATTGCCTTGCTGGCTGTCAACTGAAGACCACTCTGGGGTCTTAGAGGCAGCCACGTTTCTTACAGAATTGTCTCCTCCATCTCCAAGCTCACAGTGACACATCAAATTCTTCTTGCACTTTGAATCTCCAATTTTCTGTTCTGTGACCAGCCAGAAATATGGTTGTTTTCAAAGGGCTCATTTGATTAGGTAAAATCCACCAGGATAATATTCCATCATAAAGTCAACTGTGCCAATTAATATATTCTAATCACAGGACTAAAGTCCATCATATTCATAGTCCTAGGGACTATTCAGGAAATGCACACCAAGGGTGGGATATCTTGGGAGCCCTCCTAGATTTATTAAAGCAGGAAAGACAAACACATACCCAATGCAGGTGTCAATTGTGGTAATGATACATCTCTGCCCCATCCAGAAAAGAAAGAACCTACTATAATCTAACCAGGCTCACCATGGATGGTGCTACAATGAATTCTCAGTGTCACACTTCAATAATATAGCAGCATGAACAAACAGCCGTGAGAATCTAGCTTGGTGAGAGAAAGTCCATGCTGTTGGGCACATGCATAGTTTCCATCTGATCACTTCATCCCGTCTGTTCATGGTCTTGTTTTGCCAGCACCAGAATGGCTGAGAATCAAGGCAGAGTGACATACTCAGGATAGATTATTCTGATTGTTAAGTATTTCTTCTTTGCTGGTTGCTCTATAGTGGGCTCTAAGAAAAAAAAAAGATCTTTACCTTTGTGTTCACATATTTTCCCATCCATTCATACAGGTGTGTCATCCCTCAACATCCTTGCTCTGATTTTTCATTCTTGACTCTAAGGCTTTTGACTATGTGATTGTTAATATTGAGTGCCAACTTGATTGGATTGAGGGATACAAAGTATTGATCCTGTGTGTGTAGGTGAGGGTGCTAACAAAGGAGATTAACATTTAAGTTAATGGACTGGGAGAGGCAGACTGACCCTCAATCTGGGTGGGCACCATCTAATCATCTGAGGAGGAACATGGAAGAACTAGACTGGCTGAGTCTTCCGGCCTTCATCTTTCTCCTATGCTGGATGCTTTCTGTCCTTGAACATCAGATTCCAAGTTCTTCAGCTTTTGAACTCTTGGACTTACACCAGTGGTTTGACAGGGTCTCTTGGGCCTTTGGCCACAGACTGAAGGCTGCACTTTCAGCTTCCTTACTTTTGAGGTTTTGGGACCTAGGCTGATCCACTACTGGCTTCCTTATTCCTCAGCTTGCAGAAGGCCTGTAGTGGACTTTACTTGTGATCTTGTAAGTCAATGCTCTTCAATAAACTTACTTTCATATACGTACCTCTATCCTATTAATTCAGTCCCTCTAGAGAACCCTGACTAATATAGGCTACATAGCCATCTCATTTGCCACTCTCCTGCCCAGGCATCTGTATATTTCTGACCTTGAGCCGTTTGTCTTTCTCTTTCATACAGTGAAAGAAAATGTGCACCGCTAGGCACTGTACCCCCTGGGAGGATTCCTTTCACCGTTGTCCTTAGGGTCACCCTGGAGTAAAGGAGTATGGCTGCTGCTATCCACTGTGAACTCCTGTCAACTTTTCGAAATGATTAATGGGAAATTTGGGCCCAAATTTTCTTCCCCTGTCAGTTGGCCATTGGAAAGTTGACTTGAGACGATAAAAAATTGTTAAATTAACATAGATTTTTGTTAACATGTAATTGATTGAGACACTGCTATAGAGGTGCAGCAGAGGGTGATAGTTTTTTGTTTTCATTTTTTAATATTTGGTTTAGACGGTAAATTTTAATAAAAATACCATGTATCAGGAGACAACTCAAAAACTCAAATATCTTTGATAACTTCTAACAAGAATTTCATTAAGTCAACATTCAAATATAGATTTCAGAGTCAGATTCATTACACTAAAGAGGCCATGATGATTGTTTGACATTAGGGACATCCAGTCCCTTGATTCCTGCCATAGACATAGAATGGCACAGATGCCCACACAACATGTTCCTGAGTTTCACTGTAACTACTGTCGACTTCCTTTTCTTTTCTTTTTTTTTGAGATGGAATTTCACTCTTGTTGCTCAGGCTGGGGTGAAATGGTGCCATCTCGGCTCACTGCAACCTCTGCCTCCTGGGTTCAAGCGATTCTCCTGCCTCAACTTCCCAAGTAGCTGGGATTACAGGCATGCGCCACCATGACCAGGTAATTTTGTATTTTTAGTAGAGACAGGGTTTCACCATGTTGGTCAGGCTCGTCTCGAGCTCCTGACCTCAAGTGGTTCACCATCTCAGCCTCCCAAAGTGCTGAGATTACAGTCATGAACCACTGTGCCTGACTAACCTTCTTGATTCCTCTATTGCTTTCTCTTTAATTTTGCTGTTGGCACCTAATTGTTTTGGATTAGCAAATAACACAACACAGGCAGTATAATACCTCCTTTTTTTTTGTGACAGAGCCTCACTCTGTCACCAGGCTGGAGTGCAGTGGTGCAATCTCAGCTCACTGCAACCTCCACCTCCCGGGTTCAAGCGATTCCCCTGCCTCAGCCTCCTGAGTAGCTGGGACTACAGGTGCATGACACCACACCCAGTTAATTTTTTGTATTTTAGTAGAGATGGGGTTTCACTATGTTGGCCAGGATGGTCTTGATCTCCTGACCTCGTGATCCACCCTCCTCGGCCTCCCAAAGTGCTAGGATTACAGGCGTGAGCCACCGCGCCCGGCCCCAACATAGGTAGTATAATACCTTAAGTTCATAACTGATTGATAGTGATGGAAATTAATGAAGAGTGAGGAAATCTTGAGTCTTTATCACCTATACAACTTTGAAAGCTCTTTAAAGTCCTCTGGACTTTAGCTACTCTTCTATTAGGTTGGTGCAAAAGTAACTGCAGTTTTTGCCATTCCTTTTAAGAACAACAACTGCAATTTCTTTTGCACTAACCAAAAATAAAATGGGATAAAAATATCTGCTAGGCTTAAACTCTCAAGATGCTTCATAAAATAAATGATTATTGATTGTAAAAAACTACCTGTAGTTTAGAAAACAGATACAAGATTTGTACCATTTTTACAGACTTAGGATAAGTTTTCCTCTTGCAATACAAATAAATAAGTGTAATTTAGAATTAGCAGTGTAAACAAGGCTCATTTGTAACTCTGTCATTATAATTTATTATTGGCCCATGAAAAGAATTAATTAATTAATTTAATTTTTATTTTTTAGAGACTGGGTCTTGCTCTGTTGTCCAGGCTGGAGTGCAGTGGCATGATCACAACCCATCGCAACCTCCACCTCTTGAGTTCAAACAATCCTCCTGCATCAGCCTCCCAAGTAGCTGGGACTACAGGTGTGAGCCCCCATGCCCAGCTAATTTTTGTATTTTTTGTAGAGAAGGGATTTCACCACGTTGACTGGGCTGGTCTCTAACTTCTAGATTCAAGCAATTCACCTGCCTCGGCCTCCCATAATGCTGGGATTACAGGCATGAGCCACCACACCTGGCCTTCAGAATTAATTAACTTTAAATAAAAAGATAATGCTAATTTCAAACTCTTCCTGCCAATAAATTAAAGAAGTTCTCTGCATAACTGCTATATAGCAATACTTTATATTTGAATTAGGATTTTTTTCCCTGAGTGAAATATAATATACCTATATATCTATAATTTCTTTCTTAAATTTTATTTTATTTCAATAGCTTTTGGGATACAAGTGGTTTTTGGTTGCATAGATGAATTGTGTAGTGGTGAAGTCTGAGATTTTAGTGCACCCATCACCAAGCAGTTTATATTGTACCCCACTAGGTAGTTTTTCATCCTTGATCCCTCTCTCACCTTACCCCTTTTGGGTCTTCAGTGTCTGTTATACCACTCTGTCTGCCTTTGCTTACTCATAGCTTAGCTTCTATTTATAAGTGAGAACATGCAGTATTTGGTTTTTCATTGCTGAGTTACTTCAATAAGAATAATGTCCTCTAGTTCCATCTAAGTGGCTGCAAAAGACATTATTTCATTTTTTATGGCTGAGTTGTATTCCACAGTGTGTGTGTGTGTGTGTGTGTGTGTGTGTGTGGGGATCACATTTTCTTTAGCCACTCATCCATTGATGGGGACTTAGGTTGATTCAGTGTCTTTGCAATTGTGAATTATGCTGTGATAAACATATTCATGCAAGTGTCTTTTTGATGTAATGATTTCCTTTGTTTTGGGTAGATGCCCAGTAGTGGTGGGATCGCTAGATTGAATGGTAGATCTACTTTTAGTTATTTGAGAAATCTCCAAATTGTTTTAATAGACGTTGTACTATTTGCAGCAACAGTATATAAGCATTTCCTTTTTACCACATCTGCACCAACAATTTTTTTTTTTTTTTTACTTTTAATAGTGGCCATTCTGGCTGGAGTAAGGTGGTATCTCACTGTGGTTTAAATTTTAATTTCCCTAATGATTGGTGATGTTGAGCATTTTTTCATATGTTTATTGCACATTTATATATTTTATTTTGAGAAATGCCTATTCATGTCATTTGCCCACTTTTAAGTGACATTATTTGATTTTTATTTTCACTTATTTGAGTTCCTTGAAGATTCTTGATATAAGTTCTTTATCAGATTCATGTCTTGTAAATATTCCTTCCCATTCTTTAGGTTGTCTTTTAAAAGTGATTGTTATTTCTTTTGCTGTGCAGTAGTTTTTTTTTTTCAATTTTATTTAGTCCAATTTATTTATTTTTGTATTTGTTGCATTTGCTTTTGGGGTCTGTCATAAATTCTTTGCTTAGGCTGATACCAGAAGGGTTTTTCCTCAGTTTTCTTCTAGAATTTTTGTGGATTCAGGTCTTAGATTTAAGTTTTTAATCCATCTTGAGTTAATTTTTGTATATGGTGAGAAATCAAAATCCAGTTTCATTTTTCCACATATGGCTATCCAATTTTCCCAGCACCATTTATTGTATAAGATATACCTTCTCCAGTTTTTTGCTTTTGTATATTTCATCAACAATCAACTGGTTGTAAGTATTTGGCTTTATTTCTGGGTTCTCTCGTCTGTCCCATTGGTCTATGTATCTAATTTTATACCAGTAGTACCATGCTCTTTCGGTTGCTATAACCTGATAGAGTAATTTTAAGTTGGGTAATGTGATGCCTCCAGATTTGTTCCTTTTGCTTAGAATAATTTTGACTATTTGGGCTTATTTTTTGTTCCGCATTAACTTTAGGATTATCTTTTTCTAATTCTGTGGGGAATTACATGGATATTTTTATAGGAGTTGCATTGAATCTGTATATTTCTTCAGACAGCATGGCCATTTTCATGATATTGATTCTTCCTATCCATGAACATGGGATGTATTTCCATTTGTTTGTGTCATCTATGATTTCTTCCAGCAGTGTTTTTGTAGTTCACCTTGTAGAAATCTTGTAACGCGTTGGTTAAGTTTGTTGCTATATCTGTGTTTTTGTTTGTTTGTCATGCAGGTATTGTATCCTGTTTTAATTCTCAGTGCGGTTGTTGTTGGTATATTGCAGTGCTATTGATTTGTGTACATTTATTTTGTAACCTGAGACTCTACTGAACTCATTTATCAATCTAGGAGTATTTGGGAGGAGTCTTTAGGGTTTTCTAGGTATAAGATTATAACACTAGCAAACAGAGGTAATTTGACTTTCCGTTTTTCCATGTGGATACCCTTGATTTCTTTCTCTTGCCTGATTGCTCTGGCTAACACTTATAGGACTATGTTGAATAGAAGTGGTGAAAGTGGGCATCTTTGTCTTATTCCGGTTCTTATGAGGAATGCTTTCAACTTTTCTCTGTTCAGTATAATGCTGGCTATGTGTTTGTCATATGTAGTTTTTATTAACTTGAAGTATGTTCCTTCTACACCAACTTTGTTGAGAATTTTTATCATTAAAGCATATTGAATTTTATTGAATGCTTTTTCTGCATCTATTGAGAATATATTCATACATCTATAATTTTATATATCAGTAATTCCATCTGGCATATTTTCAACTTTTTGACTTAAGTGAAATAATACATGAAAAGTCCTCAATTTAATGTTCTTGAAAGACTAGCTAGTATTATTAGATGCTGATATTTTTTGATAGGACCAGTATTTAATGGCTATATAGCTCTTCTAATCTAGAAAAAGTAGTAGTGACTTGAAATATTAAGCTTGAATAATTAAAAATTTGATCTTGAAGACCTGTGGTAGGCAGAATAATGCCCTTCACGTGTTCATATCTTAATTCCTGAATTCTGTAAAGATGGTACCTTTCAAGGCAAGAAATATAAAGACCTTTAAGTGGGAATATTACCTTGAATAACCAGAGTAGACAAAATGTCTTTACAAAAGTCCTTATAAGAGCGAGGCAGGTAGATTAAAATGAAAGAAAGAGATATGTCAGTGGAAGTAGAGGCCCAAGATTCAAATAATTATGCTGCTGGTTTGAAGATGGAAGAGACCATAGCCAAGAAATACAGAGGGCCTCTAGAAGCTGGGAAGGGACTTTCATCCCGACCCTCCAGAAAGGATGCCAGTATGCTGACACCTTGATTTTAGTCAAGTGAGACCCATTTTGAACATCTGACTTTCACATAATAAATGTATGTTGCTTTAAGTCTCTAAGTTTGTGATACTTTCTTACAGCAGCATAGAAAATGAATGCAAGTTTTTTACCAATTATTGAATTCCTACTATGCACTAGGAACCATTAATGTAACAATTTTCCTGTTCTTATGGAGGTCATTTAGCGTGTAAAGCTTTTTATTTACATTAGGTGATATTTCAAAGAGATACCATCTAAAGTTTAAACGAAAAATATTCTGGGATATATCGTGGATTTACTTCTTTCTGAATATTCTGAACATTGTGGCCATTTTAAATGTATTCTACATAAACTAGGTATTATAGATCAGCAATAAATATAATCTCCAACATTTAACTTGTATCCATGATTTCAGTTTAATCAATTGAAAAAAGTCACAATATTACTTGTGGATTTATTGCTAATATTATACAGCTAGAATAAAACTGAACAGTAAATTTTGTAAAAGGCGACAATTTTCAACATGCCGCCACTAAATTGTGATAAACATGTTACACATTAGAATGTGGTTATTTGTTAAATAACCAATTTTATGACCCAAATAAGGTGTTAATACCTACATTTTTCTTTAAACTAATAGGTGCTCAAGTATGCCTGTATGTTGACTCTAAAGCAGAATATTAATATCTTCATGTTCAATAAAAAATGCTTGATTGCTTTTGTCTCAGGCACAAACTGCAAGGTAATATTAATAATTGAGAAAAATCTGCTGAAAGCTTCTTTGATTCAAAATAAGCTAGGTTTGTTATTAATAAGTGAAATTTGTATAATGGTTTATAAGGAAGTTTTACATTCATTAGATATGCTGACCCTCTCAATAATTTTTTTTCCCATAAATGAGGAAATTTAGCCTTAGATAAGTTATAAAATTTGTCTAGAGCCATAAAGCTTATTGATGGCAAGTCCATGATTTGAAGTGAGTTATTTTTATTGCAGAGTAATCAAACTAAACTTAATCCATATTTCCCTGTCTTCAATTATTCACATGTCCCCTCATGAATGTTTTATTTTATCTGCCTGCTACTTATTTTTTTCATAAATCCATTAATTACCTTGAGTTAAACACTTCCTAAAAACTCTATAGATATGGGTTGATATTTATGATAATATACATTTAAATACAGATACTAAACAGTATGAATTTGAATATGCTTTTCTTAAGGACTTGCTGTATTTTCTGTTCCACTGTCTGGTAGGTGTTTCTTTCTGTCCGAATGGGAAGATCACTTAGTGTTTAAAAGAGATTAACCGTGAACTGAGACTTTCATTTAACCTGTGGAAATTATGCTATTAAACAGCAAGTTTCTTACCACCTAAATACATCTTGTGGACTGAAAACAGCTTCTATTCTACATTTTGGAAAATACTGTGATGCACATTACTGCCTCCATTGCCTGATGTTTACACTTATTCAAAGATTAATATGTGACATACACTTGTTGAAAGCAGAGGAAAGGGATTGCCTATTATTATCCATTTATACATTTTCATCCAATCAATAAATATTGTTTTCAGAATATTCAAGAGTATATCATAGATCTCTGTTACAGAGGTTGGCAGATTATGCCCAAAGGTTAAATCAGGTCTGACATCTGTTTTGTAAATAAAGTTTACAGGGGCATAGCTTTGCCATTCTGTTTACATATTGTCTATGATTGCTTTCAAGCTACAGTGGAAAAATTGAGTAGCTGCAACAGAAACTGTATAACCTACAAACCTAAAATATCACTTTCTGGCCCTTTATACAAAATATTTTCACACCCCTACTATAAAAGATATCAAAAAGAATATCATACTTCTACTCTCAAAAAACATGCATGCAAATAATTGTGTATACATTTATACAGACATTCAGAAGTTAAATATATAGAGGGGTATGACAAAAGAGAGTAGCGAGAGATTAATGTCAGCTTAACTCATAAGGAAATGTTTGATGAATCAAGTGGTATTTGAACTGAATCTTGAAATATTTGGAAGGTTCCAATGAGCATGGAAAGGAGAGAATGTTGACCCAAGTTGGAAAGTGTGCTGTTTCGGTTAGGAATAATTTTAGCAGCAAGGAGCCAGAAATTAGGAATAGGCTAAACAGGTCAGGGTTTACATTCTTCATACAATAAGAAAACTGGAGAGAAGCTAATTCTAATTTGTTTGCCACAGATCAATGATTTTAACCGCCCTGTGATTCCCCTGAACTTCCAAAATCTCATGTTATGCCTCAGAAATAACATGGCAGAAGAGAAAGAGAAAGGCATCAGGGACATATCACTCTGTTAGGGCAGAAATGCTTTTCCCAAATCATCCCCATGATCCTAGGTTAGGGCTCACTGGTATGTCGTGGGTCTCCTTCTAGCTACAAGGGAGGAGGGACCTTGTCAAGAACATACTTAAATACAATTTGTTGCCTTAATAACTCACCAATGATGGTAATTGAGGGAGAGACAGAAAGAGTTAGCTGTAGCTCACTTGAATGAAGCCCGGAGGCTTATACAAACTTAATGTACTTTGAGGAGAAATTTGACTGTGATTAAGATCTGCTTTAGAGAGATGGATTTTGGCATATTCTGGCTGAGAGTTGAAAATGCTTCATCTTGTTCAATTTCTTTCCCAACTCATCAAAGCAAGGCTAGGTGGAAACTTCTTTACTTAGAATGTGCTATTTTCAGCTCACCCTGAACTTATTCAAAATTCATTTTGTCTTAAAATTAATTGAGACTACCCCATATTCAGGCTGCCTCTGCACTGGAAATCAAGACTTCTAGGCAAACATTTTTCATGATTGTATTTTCCTTTTAAACAATTTTATTTGTAAAAATTTATAAAATACAAATGTAATTTTGTTAGACAGATATATTGGGTAGTGGTGAAGTCAGGACTTATAGTGTTTCCATGACCAGAATAACATACATTGTACCTATTAAGTAATTTCTAATCAATACCACCCCTGAACTCCCCCAAACTTTCAAATCTCCATTGTCTGTCATTCCACACTATGTCCTACACATTTATTTCATTTTACTTTTCTGAGACGGAGTCTCGCTCTCTTTCCCAGGCTGGAGTGCAGTGGCGTGATCTTGGCTCCGGCTCACTGCAAACTCCGCCTCTCGGGTTCAAGCAATTCTCCTGTCTCAGCCTCCTGAGTAGCTGGGACTACAGGTGCATGCCACCATGCCCGACTAATTTTTGTATTTTTATTAGAGATGGGGTTTCACCATATTGGTCAGGTTGGTCTCGAACTCCTGACATCAGGTGATGCATCTGCCTCATCCTCCCAAAGTGCGGGGATTACAGGCGTGAGCCACCGTGCCCAGTCTGTACACATTATTTAGTTCTCATTTATAAGTAAGAGCATGTGGCATTTGCCTTTCTATGTCTGAGCTGTTTAACTTAAGATAATGGCTTCTAGTTCTATCCATGTTGCTGCAAAATACATGATTTTATTTTTTTCTATGGTTGAACAGTATTCCATTGCGTATATATATCGCATTTTCCTTATCCATTCATCCATTGGTGGATATTAAGGTTAACTCCATATCTTTGCTATTGTGAATAGGGCTGTGATGACATGATGACATATAGGTGCAGTTATCTTTTTTTTTTTTTTTTTTTGACGGAGTCTTGCTGTGTCACCCAGGCTGGAGTGCAGTGGTGTGTCTCAGTTCACTGCAGCCTCTGCCTCCTGGGTTCCAGTGATTCTCCTGCCTCAGCCTCCCAGGTAGCTGGGATTAAAGACATGCACCACTATGCCCTGCTAATTTTTGTATTTTTAGTAGACAAGGGGTTTCACCATGTTGTTGGCTAGGCTGGTCTCGAACTCCAGACCTCAGGTGATCTGCCTGGCTCCGCCTCCCAAAGTGCTAGGATTACAGGCGTGAGCCACCATGCCCAGCCAGGTGCAGGTATCTTTTTGATATAATAATTTCTTTATTTTGGATAGATGGCCAGTAGTGGGATTACTGGATCAGTTTTTCTTCCTTACTTTCCACGCATTCAAAAGTAAATGCTCCTTGAGCAGCCACTATGAGCTGGACATTGGAGCCAGTCCTGGATACATCGAGGAACACCACAGACCTTCTGTCCTGAAGGAATTTTCTTCTAGTGAGTGTATATATGTGGGGAAAGGAGAGAAATAGGAGTAAATAAAAATGGTCTTCTCCTAGGTCACTGATGTATTTATTTTTATTGAACATAGTTTTAATGTTTGGTCTGCATCCAGTTTTTGATTCTAACAAGTGATTACTATTACTCCTTCTTCTGAGAATCATTTTCTTTCCATGTCTGTCTCTGTCTGTGTGAGGGAGGGGGAAGAGTGGTACAATTTTATTCTGGATTTTCCTCTTTTCCTCTTCTTCTTACATATTCCTTCTCAGAAATTTCCTGGGATCCTGGATTTTTTTTCCTGCTGAAATATTGGTATTTCTCATGGTCTTATTTATCTCCTTTGACAATAGGAGGAATTCTTTCATTCATTCCTGTTAATTACCATTCAAGTTATAATGAATCTTGAAGCACTGTCTCTAATTAAAATCCTTTCCTGACATCTATACTGCTTACTTATTAATGCCTCCACTTGGATGTTTCCAGGACACTTAAAATCCAGCCACTCGAACTCAATCAGTGCCCTCCTTCCCTTAGGTTACCTTTCTCAGTAAACTGCATTTCCACCCCCTCCCTTTCTCAGTCCCTCTCACTTGATTACTAAATCTTAGTGAGTCTACCTCCTGAACACCCTGCACCTCTGCTGCTTCTGGCCACCTGCTGCCTCCGTGCTAGGAGCTAGGATACTGCAGCCCTCTCAGGTGGCTTCTTCTTCCTGGTTGGCTCCCTCTAATTTATCCCCCTACCACAACTAGAAATATTTTTAAGGGCAAAATGGGTCATGTTACATCTCTGTTTAATACCCTTAAATGATTTCCTTTTGCTTCAGGAAAAAAAAATGATCCAAACTTCATCATTGGGCTAAGACATATCAGAAGTTTGGGGATCTGCAGTACTCCTTACAGTGCTTACATTTCTTCACTCACTGCAGTCAAGCTGGAAAGCACACAGGGCCTTTAGCAGGACTCTGTTCATCCTCTTGTCCCCAGGTGACATACTCTTTTACCACTGATCAGAAAGCCCACAATTGGAGGTGGAGGCTTACCTGGCCCATGTTTACTCTGCTAACTTACACTTCCTTAGGTATTCTCTCACTGACCTTCTTCTCCTTCTCCTTCTCCTTCTTCTTCTTTCTTCTTCTTCCAGAGTCTTGCTCTGTCACCCAGGCTGGAGTGCAGTGGCACCATCTCGGCTCACTGCAACCTCCGCCTCATGGATTCAAGCAATTCTCCTGCCTCAGCCTCCCGAGTAGCTGGGATTACAGGCAAGCGCCACCATATCCGGCTAATTTTCTTGTTTTTTTTTAGTAGAGATGGGGTTTCACCGTGTTAACTGAGATGATCTCAATCTTCTGACCTCATGATCTGCCCACCTCGGCCTCCCAAAGTGCTGGGATTACAGGTGTGAGCCACAGTGCTCGGCTGACACCCTCTTCTTAATACCCTCACAGTTCACCAATACGAGGGTGAGCATCTATCTAGGTTTCCCTGGGACACTTTGAGGGAAACTGGCAAAACAAAGCACTGTCTTTTTTTCTCTTAGAAGTGTCTCCATTTTGATGGTAAATTATACTATTATTTTAGTTACAAACCTTAACTTGCCTTGTGATATATATTTTATTTAGGATTTTCTCACTATAACTTAAGCTCCAGAATTGGAGGGATGCTCACTTGTCCTCTATTTTGTCTCCCAAACCTAGCAAGGTGTAGGTATGCAGTTGTTAGTTATTAGTAGATAGAGCAAGGGCATCTCACTGTATCCTCTCCGGGAAGACGGTTTTCATCACATCTATGTGAAGGGCACCTCGTGTGGTGGTGTTCACAGCCTGTTCAGCTGGATATGACTTACCAGTATTAAAACTGGTGTGAAGAACATTCCTGATCTATCTATCCTGGCCTCAGTTTGGTGCTTGGCTGGCAACAGGTTCCCAGGGCTTCCACTAACGCCTGCCATGACATCATCTGGCTTCCTTTCCATCGTGTTTAATAGTCTTCCTTCGGATCTGAAGCACCTGCAGACAGAAAGCTTAGCTGCCTTGGTCACACTGTTATTTTCATCACCTGCCATATAAAGTGTGCTTAATAGATGTATTTTGAATTAAATTACTCAATTAATGTTGAATGAAATGCATGCTAATCGAAGAAAATGAAGCACATACTTTTTCCAGGTAGATAAAAGAAGAGACAGAGAGGAAGGGCGTTAAAAGCAGCAGTGATAGAATGAAGTCTTTCCAATTTTTTTTCAAAAATATTTTTCAGACTCTTTAAAATTTATTAGTTATGAATTATACCAAATTTTCAGTGAATTCACACATGTATTGAGATAATATTGGAGTTGGTTAGAAACCCAGTATTTGATCATAGTACTGAGGAATGTTAATTCTTCTCCACATCTGATCACTTGGTAACCTCCCAGAGAACACTTGAGAATAGAAAAACCACAGAGACTCAGGAAGCAAGAACGCTTTAGCAGTTCAAATATTTTTCTTCTTCTGGTTAATCTGATGTCTTAGAGACGTATTTAGTCTTTTGCTGGAAAGGTTGGAAAGTGGCTTCTAGATCCTCATGTGGAGGTTATTAGACAGACCATAGCCAGCTATTTTCCTACTCTTCAGTAAATTATGTCTGGAACTAATTCCCAACATCAATGTCACTACTGGAAAAGAAAATCAGAAGGTAAGACAGGCCATACATTCATTGAGCAACCTTGAAATGTCAGGTCCTGTTTTTGACACCTCACTAATAGATATATTTTTCCCAACAACCCTATGCAGTAAAATTTATTATTCTTAAAATCAAACTGTAGTGGCAAAATAAATAGTGGAGTGAAAATGAAGGACAGTTCATCATTTGTGTGCATGTGTGGGTGAGGGAGTGCGTACTTGTGTGTGTGCATCCATCAGTGTATGAGTATGGTGTATGTGAGTGTGTGTGTTTGTTAATGTGGGAGTGTGAGTGTCTATGCCTGAGTGTGTGTGTGTGTGTGTGCGTGTGTGTGTGTGTAAAATCACAGTCCTGCTCACATCTTTTCTTTGCAGGCACTTCCTGATTGCAAAGACAAATATGCCTCTTTGGGTCCATCATGAGGAGGCATCAAGGACTTCTTGCCCTGTCCTTGCTCTTTAGCCAAAACCCTGGCTATCTTGGTGAGTTCCTGTGAAAATCAGACAGTCAGCGATGCTCTTCCAGCTACTTAGCTTCCTGATTAATCAGAGTGCCTTGACATGGGACTCCATGCCCAATCATAGGACCCAGCCTGGCCCTGAATCACAGAGTGCATGGCAGGGAAGAAGGTACACCTCAGCCTCATCCAGGTCCCACACCCCAGTCCTGGTCCTCTTTATTTGACAGGTTCATCTGGCCGGGCCTATGGTGAGAGGAGGACAGGGAGCTGAGCTAAATCTCCTGACCATTTGTGTAGATGAGCTAGACAGTATTAGATTTCTTCATACTCATCCTGTCCTGTGGGATCAATAGAGTTCACTTTTAGACTTAGGATAATACCCATCAGAAGGCTAATTACATGGACTTTGAGTCATCTAAACCTAGAGATAGACCAGGTTATACTAAGGACACTAACAAGCTAAAATCTTAGGAACTTAAAACATCATAATTCTCTTTCTTATTCACACTATGTGTGTGTTCACTATAGTCAACTGTGACCTGTATTCCACTCTGTTATTGGGCCTACCCCAGGGCTAAGGCTCATGGTGTAGATGCCGTGTTCTGTGAGTGATGACAGAGGAAAAGACTGTGGCAAAGTCCACAATGGATGGTCAAGCCTCTACCTGTCACTGTGCACACATGGCCTGAGCCAGATCAATTCTCATGACCTAACCAGACTTCAGGTTAGAGGGAAAATAAAATCATCTTATAGGAAAAGGAAGGAACTGCAATGTGGATCAACAATGGGCTCTGCCACTTCTAAGTGTTTATGTCAAAACACTTTCAGCTGAGAGGTCCCTGAGTCAGTTTCCTACAAGGTAAAGTGAAAATAATATAATAAGTAGCCACCACAGGAGATTCTTGTGATGATAAAATGAAACAATGCATAGAAATCATTGGAAAAGTGTAAGTTTGGAAATAATCGCAGTAACACACTGCTGTTGAAAGAACAAGTCCTGGAGGTAAGCTGGTTCTAACCTGGGCTCCACCACTCCTTGGAATCATAAACTCAGAAAATCACTTCGCATTTTAGACTCCTCATCTGTAAAATAGTTTCTGATTCAATGTGTTTCTGAGATTAAACGAGATTAAGTATTTAAGTGCTATTATGGTTCCTGAAACAAAATAAACACCCAATATATGTCAACTAGTATTTCTGTTGTTATTTGGATTAAAGAAAATAAGTCAGATTCTGTCCCTTGCAGAGCATCTGAAACATAATGTGAATAATAATGCACAGAAGAATAATATTGTGGTTGAAAATGACTTGAGCTGTTAGTTAGAGAAGTGCTTCTTTGCCATTTTGAAGTCATGGCTCCAGTTGAGAATATGATATAAATTATGGGCTCGTGCACCTTAAAGAAAGCATACAAAGTAAACATTACATATACTTTTGGGGCTTCTTACATTTCTCACGACCCTTGTCTAGCCCATGTTTATCATTTTACTCAGTAGGAACAGCATGATGACCTGTTTTTCTCTCCCCCTTTCATTATTGTCCTTTCTGGTCAATACTGTGGTGTCTGTAAATTTTAGCTGTGATGTTCTGGGTAGACCCACTTCATTCTCTGTTTTTTTGTTTTGTTTTGTTTTTGTTTTTCCCCTTTGGAAAAAAATGGGTGTAGAGAAGATGCAAACAACTTTGAAAATAAATACTAATTAATTAACCAACAGAAAAAGCTTTTTGTCCTAGAAGCAATGTGTTTCTTACAAAAGATATCACATGCAGGACTATTTTTTCAGAACCATAAAAGTCATGTCCTTTTTGTGTGAGGAAAAACAGACATGATAGACAGCAAAGATAACCCTGTGGTTAGATTTCCCTTTAATAGCAAGAAGCAGGGCAGTTCCACCCAGACACAGCTCTTTTCAAAGTGCTGTTTTGATTGCCAACCAAGAACCCTCTTAGCAGTTTGCCAAATGGGACTCTTTCGGAGATGTGTTTCCTCATGTTTGTGTGGCACTCTGAAATCTCAGGAAAGATGAGAGAATAGGGAGGCCATCTTTGGGATCTGGGATGTCCTTCTTAGTACTGTGTTCAGAACAAAGCAGAATCTGGGGCCTGAAAACATTGTGAAGTTCCTCCTCAGGGTCACCAACAGCACAATCCAGAGACTGGCAGGGAAGGTTGAAAATGACTGTGGAGGGAGCAGGGAAGTTTCTTGAAATTCACAGAACCTGAGAACACATCCAGCCAGCCATTCTGTCTGGTTAATAACTTCTTCAACATTTGGAGAAGGAGGCTGCCTCACAATAGGCTTGTCACAAATCAGCACTAACACTTACTTTTCTAGCTCATCTCCACACCAAGAGATCATGTCAGAGCAAGCTGGGTTATGATTCTTTGGAATAAGACAGGGCCAGCTTAGAATTTCGATGCTACTTCTTACAAGTTGTGTGAGTTGACTATGTTATTTGTTCTCTCTTAGCATCACTTCCTTTTCGTGTAAATGAGCATGGAAAATGTAAAGATTTTGAGGGATAAAAATAGTGTATTCACAAAGAGGATATAGTAGATGTTCAGTAAGTGTGAGCTGTTTCCATGAATGCTGCTTAAATCGAGGTAGAAACCTGCAGATTTGTCTCATTTCAAACTAGCTCAAAAGCCATCTCTCTGAAGCTTTCCCACAGCCCCTAGAAACATGGTGTCTTTGCCTTCTCTTTGTTTTCATAGTACTTTGCACATACTTCTGCTTATTGAACAATGCTCTGTTAAGTCCCAACAGTGCCAGATATGAGGCATACAGAATAGACCCTGCTCCTAAGTAGCTAGGAATCTAGAGAAGGAGCCCAGTGAATACATAATTCCAGAAGTGTGCATCCACACAACAACTCAGGAAGACCTGCATTCTTACCTTCATTTTGATATGAGGCTCTGAGACTCCAAGTAGTTAAGTAACTTGCCAAACGCCATGCTGGTAGCAAACCGAAGGACTCAGAACTCAAACCCAGTTCTGTGTGAGTGCAGACCCCTTATGTTTTCTATAACAGTAGCTTGTTCTGCTGATATAAAGCTGCATATTCACAGGTCCTGGGGAGTGGAATGCAGACCTGTGTTTTAGAATGGGATGTTATTCCAGTCAACACACACGTATTACCCCCTCCATCCCTGCAGTGCATGTTTCCTCATGGTACTCACAGGAGACTGAGACCTAGAGATACAAGCAAAGAATCTAAGGTCATGCACACATTCAGCTAAGCAGAGAGATTCCACCCAGTTACTTTAATTTGAGAGACTAAACAATTAGTCATTATGCCTTGATGCTTTGCAAGTAGCATTCCTCATGATGATTAGGTCTCTCACCAAACTCCAACCTCCTTAACAAAAAGGACCACGTCTTGTTCCTATGCCCTATGGGACGGATGTATGTCTTAATTGGTGGACAAGGTAAAAGGTGCATAAAAATAAGAAGCAAATAGAGGAGAGAGACAAATAAAAAATAATACAGAAATAAAAGTCTGTGATTTTAGTTTGTTTTAGAAAAGGGTGATGAGCCAGAAAACATTCCCAGAAATAACACCAGATGGAAATCTGTCCACTGACTGCCTCAGCAACTGTATACGCATATTCTGGTTCATATCATGGTCAAATGAACCAAAAAGACATGGATTGATCATGCTTCAACCACACACACATCGTAGAAATTCTCCCTTGGCCTGTGCTCAACCAAGGGAGATGGTGAACAGCTCCTCTGTCTGCCTTAAGAAAGAATGCAGTAAGTGATCCCATTACTGGGTATATACCCAAAGGATTATAAATCGTGCTCCTATAAAGACACATGCACACGTATGTTTATTGTGGCACTATTCACAATAGCAAAGACTTGGAACCAACCCAAATGTCCATCAATGATAGACTAGATTAAGAAAATATGACACATATACACCATGGAATACTATGCAGCCATAAAAAAGGATGAGTTCATGTCCTTTGTAGGGTCATGGATGAAGCTGGAAACCATTCTGAGCAAACTATTGCAAGGACAGAAAAACAAATATCACATGTTCTCACTCATAGGTGGGAATTGAACAATGAGAACACTTGGACATAGGGTGGGGAACATCACACACTGGGGCCTGTCATGAGGTAGGGGGATGGGGAAAGGATAGCATTAGGAGAAATACCTAATGTAAATGATGAGTTAATGGGTGCAGCATACCAACATGGCACATGTATACATATGTAACAAACTTGCACGTTGTGCACATGTATGCTAGAACTTAAAGTATAATTTAAGCAAAAAAAAAAAGAAAAAGAAAGAATGCAGTTCTTAACTCAGCCGGTTGCCCTTGAGCAGTGTGTCTCTGGATAGTCCCTTCTCCTCCCCATTTTCCCGTTCCCACAACCTTTAACATTGCTTTATAGAACTTGCTCTCAGTGGCACCCACATCTTCCTGTTTTTGGATGGGGAAATCTCCGAAAGTTTTTGACACCTTTCCTGTGTCTGTGCAGTTTCATAGTCAGAAAATATATCATCCTCTGGTCCCTAATTTGACCTAAAGAGTGACTCTTAACATTTCATTCATCTGTACCATTCTTTTTTTTTTCAAATAAAAATCTGATAAGAAATCTCCATGTGTAAAATATTTATAAAGAATACTTTTATTTAAATGAGGAAAAGAAGCCTGAAATCTGTCACATTCTTTTTTACTTCAACTAAAACTGCCGTCCTCCCTCAACCACATCTCACCACATACTTTTCCCTCTAGAATTTGCTTGAAATCTTGCTTTTTTAAGTAGAAGAGCTTGGGAACCACTTATAGGAATCCAGCAGCTATCTGAGGTCGACCACTTTGCTTTGATTTACTGAGCTCAAGCGTTTGCAGCAGCAACAACTCAGGTGGCAGGTTCTGGAACAAAACAGTGTAAAATTCGGGCATTCTGCACCCTGGCTGCCTCTCTCTATAATCTTGGCCTCCTCTGATCTCTGTCTGTTCTGCACACTTCCCCAGCTTTCATGCCGTATACTGACACTGATTACCAGGGCTCCTTTGAATGCTTTCAAGGACTGAGTAAAGTTTGTAAGAGGCATTTCTGCAGTTTATTTTCTCCAATAGGGGCTGGTGATACACACTGGCAGTTCCACCCATTTCTTTTGCCACCAATTTCTGTGAACAGTGTCATGGAGTTGCTAAATGGCCTATGTGAGAGGAGCTTGTAATCAAGAACCATCCGTGGTTGACAGATGTGGCTCTGATTCAATGGAGGGTTAGGGGAAATTGTATTAAATACCAATGTCAGTCTGCACATGAGTTCAACAATGTTCTTCTTTTGGGTTTGAGTAGCTGGGAGAGTGCAAGGCACTCAATCCTTCTCCAACGCTTCAGGTCACTAGCCTGGGTCCTGCTGAGAGACTCTGAAAGGCTTGTCCCAGTTGTTCGTCGGGCAGGAGGGCTGAAATGTTGAATTTCTAAAATTACTTAATTGATTGATTGATTTGAAGTTTTGTGAACAGGAATAAGAGCTATTATGTAATATTTTCTTACCTGGCAATAAATTTTGGTCATGTAAACTAGGACTGATGTAGGGGCATTTTGCACTTCAATGGAAAACAGCTGTCAACATGGTATCATGGTCATGGACTACTCAGAAAAATCACAGAGGAAAATGGTGAAATGATTTTAATTCATAAAACTGCCACTCATCATATAATAGAACCTATGAAAAATACATAAAAATAATGTAGGCTTATTTTTAATATATTAATTCATTTTACATACACTGTCTCCCAAGTGATAAGCATTGTACCTACATTGTAGAGATCAAAAGTTGAAATGTAATTCATATCTTTACAGAGTTACAGTTGAATAGAAAAGATAAGGTATAAACCCAAGTAATAGAAGTCTAATAATGTGTAGAGTCATCATTTTAAACAACTCAGAGAGATATTGAGGGTCATTTTGTAAATATAGAAGCCAAATCCCTCTATACTTGAATGATATTTTACAACATCTTTATAGGTCATTTGTAAATTAGTGATGTTGTCAGAAGGCTAAATTTCACCTCTTATAGGTATGCTCTTTCTGTTATTCAACTGTAGTAGCCAGAGTTCTTTTGGTTGCAAGTATCAGAGAGCCAACTGAACCGAATGTAATCAGAAATGGGTAAATTTATTACATCATGAAACTGAAGTGAGCCCCAAATAGCTTCAGGCATGGCTTAATCCAGGTGCATAAGTAATATAATTTGGACACAATGTCTTCATTCTTAGGGCAGATCTTTCCAAATTTGTGAAAAAGGGAGCCAAAGGAAGGTCTACTATTAATGTACTTCTTATAATAAAACTTCAGAGAAGAAGAAAGAGAGTAGTTTGTTTTATTGCCAACAAAATTTCCAGGGATGTTTGTGATTGCCCCAGCTAAGCCCATGTGTCTAGATGAATTTCTTAGTCATACTCTGATTTAAATTATATGGTCATCTCTCATCTGGTTCATGTTAAAAAGCCAATCAATTAAGTCTTATCATATGGCTGTGGGGCAATTCTCAGAAGGAAAAAGAGGTGATCAAACAATAATAAACCCCTGTCAAACAAACAACTATGAAAACCAGGAAGTACCTCATACAGAAATGTTGACATTAACCATGGAATAATCAGAAAGAACCTTGAGGTCATGTTTATCACTTTCTTAATTTATAGATGAGTTTGTGCATTACAAGAGAGGTTGTATTAGTCTGTTTTCACACCGCTAATAAGGAAATACCCAGGACTGGGTAATTTATAAAGGAAAGAGGTTTAATGGACTCACAATTCACATGGCTGTGGAGGACTCACAATCATGGCAGAACGTGAATGAGGAGCAAAGTCACACCTTACGTGGGAGCAGCCAAGAGGCTTGTGCAGGGGGACTCCCATTTATAAAACCATCAGATATCGTGAGACTTATTCAGTACCATGAGAACAGTATGGGGGAGACTGGCCCCATAATTCAATTATCTCCACCTGGTCCCACCCTTGACAAATGGGGATTATTACAATTCAAGGTGAGATTTGGATTGGGACACAGCCAAACCATATCAGAGGTAGATTGATTTGTCAGAGCTTTCAATTATGCTTAGTGGCTAAGTGTTGACCAAAGTTCAGGTCTCCAGAATTGTTTCATTATGGCTCACCATTTGTGTGGACATCATTGTCTTTATTTGTCCAAGGAATACCATAGGAGAGCTGGAATTTAAGGTAACTACCATGTTTAACAAGCAAAACTCATTTTTGCTTCCTTAGTATAGTTATTTGCTTTCAGTCTGAAGGTTCCACACAACAGGTGTCCAAGCTGGAAAGAGAGGAAAATTGTAAAATTTCCCTTAAAATTAATCTATTTTATATTGTTATCTTGAAAAAGTCTCATTTCTGCCACTGCTGGGGACTGAAACTAAATTATGTATACGCGTGTGTCTTTAGTCACTAGAATCACAAAAGAAAATGATCTACTAACCTTAGAGAAATTCTTCCAGTGAGGAGCAATTATCTTTCTATTTGTTTGATTTCACTTTAGAGGAAAGCGAAGGCTCTCACAAACTATTAGAGCCAGTGGGAAGTTTCTCATCCTGGAGCTAGACTGTGAACATTAATTCATTTCACATCTGCTTTTATGAGGACTACCCTTTGCCTTCTAGTTTCTGGTATCTTTCACCACTAGTCACAAGGGCTGTCTTTTCTATATGCATTGCTTCTTGGTATATTATTTCTGCCTGTGATTGGCACAGGCAAATCTCAAACCCCAATGCTTCAAACCCTAACCCTGTATTAATGAGCTCTCACATGCTGGTTGCATTTATAACTTGACATATATAACTTTATTTAATCTTCCCAGCAATTCTATGAAGCAGGTTCTATTATTTTATTCCCATGGTATAGATACAAAAATTGACGCACTTAGAATTGAATCACTTGTCTAAAATCTCACAGCTAGTAAGTGACAGAGTCAGAATTTAATCCCAGGCAGCAATGTCAGTGTCCATATTCCTATCCACAATGATATGCTATTCCAAATGTTCATACAATTGCATCTAGCAAATGTGGATAAGAGTAAGAATCCTTTGCATTTGGACAGCATTTCTCATTGCCCAAAGTTTTCACTATCTGCTGCTTCTGTCAGTGAAGAGATTACTTGAGGGAGTTTGGAGGATAGCAAAATGATTAAGAATCCTGGCCCTATCTGTAGTCAGAAATATCTGTGTTAGAATCTGATTTGTAATTCGATTTCTCAGAGATATTTGTAATAAGTGAACATCTACTTCTGGAAAATGCTGAGGATTCTAGATAATAATACTTCTAGTAAGTATCTTTAGATTGGATGTCCTCAATGCAATTTCCCTTCCCTTGTGGGAAAATTTCTCACTGGGTGTCATATTGTTGGGAAATTAACTCCTTCCCCAATACCCTAGAAATTATGATTTGGACAATGAGTCTAGAGCTAGTCAGTTCAGATGTTCTTTTCTACATTAAAGTGTTTTTTTATTATTTCAACTTTTAATTTAGGTTCAAGGGGTACATTGTGTGACACTGAAGTTTGAGCTACGAATAATCAAATCCCATCACCCAGGTAGTGAGCATAGTACCTAATAGACAGTTTCTCAATCTCTGCCTTCCTCCCTACCTCTCCCCTCTAGTAGTCCCCATTGTCTATTGTTCTCCTTGTTATGTCATCTGCACTCAATGTTTAGCTCCCACTTATAAGTGAAAACATGCAATATTTGATTTTCTGTTGGTGTGTTAATTCACTTAGGATAAAGTTTTCATGAGTAATGAAGAGATTCAAGACCAGTGGCTGCAGCAAGCCATAGCACTAGGGAGGGTCCACAGCCTGTGATCTCCAGGAATGACAAAGGTGGTAATGCCAGCAGAAACAGCATCAAAGGCTCTGTGACTTGACCTTGGTTGGATGTACCAAGGTTATCCTGAAACTCCAGCATCCACAGCAATTCTGTGACACCTTGATATCATTTCAATACATTCTTTTCCTGCTTAAATTAGCCAAGCAATTTCTGTTGCTTACTATTCAGGTTCCTGATAGGCACAGTACCTGACTCCAAAGGTCATACATATAATAGAAGAGTAATTAACATGTTTTAATTATTGTTATCATTATTGTTATTGCCATTCTTTTATGGCACTTTTCAAATTACCAAGAATAAACTGGATTTATATGGTTGATCACAAAGAAAAATAATCAAAACTATCTGGATGTAGAGAAGAAATCTTTATGCCTACGAAGTCTCTTCAAGCAGTTCAGTGAGTATAGATACTCGTGGAGCCAAGGGAAAGATACAATGATCACACATCTCTAAAAGTTCTTTCCTTCAGTTGGTGATCATGTAAGATAACTGCTGTCTCAATGAGAAATATGCTTCTTCCTGAAAAGAGCAGATAAAAGTGTTTTTAGATAGTGATATCCAAAAGTAACAAACTGCAGTAACTAAGATGAAGATGCTTTGGTATGGTGAGGTGTTATAGAAAGAGTATGAGCCCATTGTTCAATTCCCACCTATGAGTGAGAATATGCGGTGTTTGTTTTTTTGTTCTTGCGATAGTTTACTGAGAATGATGATTTCCAATTTCATCCATGTCCCTACAAAGGACATGAACTCATCATTTTTTATGGCTGCATAGTATTCCATGGTGTATATGTGCCACATTTTCTTAATCCATTCTATCATGGACACAGGAAGGGGAATATCACACTCTGGGGACTGTGGTGGGGTGGGGGGAGGGGGGAGGGATAGCATTGGGAGATATACCTAATGCTAGATGACGAGTTAGTGGGTGCAGCGCACCAGCATGGCACATGTATACATATGTAACTAACCTGCACAATGTGCACATGTACCCTAAAACTTAAAGTATAATAAAAAAAAAGAAAAAAAAGAAAAGAAAGAGTATGAGCCTTGATACCTAAAAAACCTAGAATCCCAGCTCATGTAATTGCAGGTATAATTTATGTTTTAGCTAGCCCCTGCCCCACAGACTGGCTTGGTTCATAGGCATCAGCCAGGTCTTCCAGGCCACTGACAATTTCATATTCACCTTTGTATTACTCCATGTTAGCATTTGGAACATTTCTACAAATCATTGCTAAGGTAATGAATCCTCTCAGAGATCAAGAACAGTGATCAAGGTAGTTCTACAGTTTGTTCGTACGTGGAAAGAGATGGTTTATTTGAAAGGCTCTAGAAAAGTTTTTCCTTCCTGAATTTCTCCTTCCACTAATTCATGAAATGTCTCCATGTGTCATATTCTGTCCATCCCCTGAAACTATCCCAGTTGCTCCCATATACAGTTAGTGTTCAGGAGGATGCTTTGCTGTCGTTGTGAACTAGCATATCTAGCATTTCCTTGAGTTATAGAGATCTCTGAATTATTTATGTCTGCCCTACACTCAAGTGAGAAACACTCAGTGAATTTAAGAATTCTGTTGGATTAGCATCCACCCCAAAACAGGAGCATACCATTCATTTTGAGTGCCCCTAGAATATATACTAAGACACAAAGACATACTAAGACAGGTCCTATCTTGGATGATGAAGTACACATCAAACAATTTTAAAGAAATTAAAATTATACCGGCTACATTCTTTTTTTTTTTTTTTTTTTTTTGAGACGGAGTCTCGCTCTGATGCCCAGGCTGGAGTGTAGTGGCATGATCTCGGCTCACTGCAACCTCCACCTCCTGGGTTTGAGCCATTCTCCCACCTCAGCCTCCTGAGTAGCTGGGACTACAGGTACCCGCCACCACGCCTGGCTAATTTTTTATATTTTTAGTAGAAATGGGGTTTCACCGTGTTAGCCAGGATGGTCTTGATCTCCTGACCTCGTGATCCACCTGCCTAGGCCTCCCAAAGTGCTAGGATAACAGATGTGAGCCACCGTGCCCAGCCACAGGCTACATCCTTTAATCAGAAATTAGTTGAACCAGAAATCAGCAATGGAAATATAACCAGAACACATCTTAACACCTACAGTGACCCCTGACAAGGCTGACCATAAGATGACAGAGGTTGGCCTCAGCTCCTGAACTTTTCACCCAAAATAACTCCAGGGGTTGTCCATATTGGTGAGGCCAATGGACTAATGTCATGACCAAACCTGTTCAATACTGACAATTTCAGGCAGTACCTCTAATAACAGGACTACATGAGCAGGCCTGTTAGCCTGTACTGCCTTACTAATGTGTGTCCTAATTGCAATAATCTAACATTGCCAACTCTTTATTTCCAGGGACCATGTGCATCCTCTGAGACTGCACTTCTTGGATGTGTATCTGACCATCCTGACACTGTCTCAGTCCTGAGATATGTCAAGTCAGCTTCAACATTCTGGTTAGACGTATGCGGTACCTAAATTAATACTTTGGGCCAGGGAAGAAAGGATACAGACAAAAACTTAGTTAAAAAAAAATGAGAAAATGAAAAAAGGGCCAGGCGTGGTGGCTCATGCCTGTAATCCCAGCACTTTTGGAGGCCGAGGCAGGCAGATCATGAGGTCAGGAGTTTGAGACCATCCTGGCCAACATGATGAAACCCTGTCTCTACTAAAAATACAAAAATTAGCTGGGTGTGGTGGCATGCACCTGTAGTCCCAGCTACTCGGGAGGCTGAGGCAGGAGAATCACTTGAACCCGGGAGGCGGAGGTTGCAGTGAGATGAGATAGCGCCACTGCACTCCAGCCTGGCCACAAAGTGAGACTCCGTCTCAAAAAAAAAAAAAAAAAAAAGAGGAAATCTTCTGGCTCTCTAAAGTAGCCCTGATGGACAATGAGATGGGTGATGATACAGCTTTTCCTGGCTTGGTAACTGTTGGGACTCATGGTTATCTGCAGTTTTCCAGGTAGGTCTGATGACCCCACCTGGAGTGATCTTGATTATGTCTGTGGTCAACTTTTACTTCAGTCTGACTTCTTGGTTACTGCCACATCCCCCTCTAAATCTGACCTATTAGGGTCTACGATAGGCTAGCTTATTTTTATTTCTCAGGTCCTAAAACTTCAAGAGTGAAATTGAGGAGTCTGACTCCTGGTCAAAAACCTATCTGAGATTTTCCAGGCCAAACCATAGGCAATTACGAAGGCTCCACCTGCCAGGCCTCACCAAGAAAGCTACCCTCCAACACCAGGCTGGATGCAAGCCAATGCATGGCAGTCTCTGAGGAAAGCTGCAATCAAGGACTCAGGGCCTCCTGGCCAGTCATGGTCTTCACATATTTGCATTCTGAGCCTCGGTTGCTCTCCCCCTAGCTGTCTTTCCCTGAGGCCTTGGGCCAGGTCCTCTTCAGGGCGCTACCTCAACCAGGAAATCCTTGTGGGAGGAAGAAAGGGAAACTTGAAGATACTTTTTCCCACTCTAACTCAGTGTCCAGTAATTTTGCACTCCTAGCTTTTTCCCCTCATTCATCACACCCCCCTCAACGTCCTTAAAACTTAGGTGCCTTTTTATTTAGGGTTCTCAACATTGAGGCACCCCCACATCTGTCAGATCCAGATGATACTTGACTGGTGTGCTATTCCACTGGGGGAAAATGAAAGAGGGAGATTTGTCTCCGGCTCTGATTTTAGACTCTTGCTTGTACCATTGCAGTAATTGATAAAGGCTTAACACTTCCATGGATGGCTTGTTGCTTTAATCAGCTGCTCTCATACCTGACAGCTCAATTCTCCCTCTACCGGTTTAGCTCAGCTTCTGACAGTAACTAGACAAAACATTTTAAAGTGATCCATGAGTCAGAAACAGTCTTAAGTGAAATTGAAAAAAATTAAATAAACATTAAAAGAAAACGTACCAAAATTTGAAAGACACAAAACAGTGGTGAGAGGGAGATTTATAGCACTAAATGCATGCATTTAAACAGAGGAAAGACTTCAGATCGATATTCAAACTTCCTACTGCAAGAGTGTAGAAAAGAAAAAATAAAGGAAGCAGGGAAATAATAAAGTTAGGGGCAAAATAGAAATCATTAAAATTAAAAACAAAGTAGAAAAAAATCAGTGAAGCAAAGAGCTGATTACTTGAAAACATCAATAAAATTGGCAATTTCTAGCAAGAATGTCAAATAATAAAAGAGAGAAAGAAAGAGAAGACACAGATTACCAATATCAGGAATAAAACAGGAAATAAGACTACAAATCTTGCAAACTTTTAAAGGATAATAAGGCAACGCTATTAACAATGCTACACATATAATTTTGACAATTTAGATGAAAGGAATCAATTCCTGGCAAAATACAGACTATTGCTACAAAAGGAATCAATTCCTGGCAAAATACAGACTATTGCTACTCACCTAATATATAACAGATACGTTGCATATCCCCGTAACTACTAAGAAAATGGAAATTACAATTTTAAAAGACATTTTCAAACAAGAAATCTTCATGCTGTGATGATTCTACAGGGTAACCCTGTCAAATATTTAAAGAAGAATGAACACCAATTCTGTACAACATATTCTAGTAAATAGAGGAGGAAGAAATACTTCTTCACTAATTTTATGAGGATATTATTACACTAGTATAAAAATTAGACAAAGACAATTGGACTGCAGCAAACTACAGGCCAGGATCCCCCATGAATATAGATGTGAAAATTATTAACTATTACCAGGTAGAATTCAGCAATATACAAATAATTATACCCTCAGGACCAAGTGATGTTTATTTCCAGAATGGAAGGCTGATTCAAAATCCAAAAATTGATCAATATAATCTACCATGCTTACGGACTAAAGTAGAAGTCATACGATCATATCAATCAATATAGAAAAATAAAAACAAAAAACGAGCAAAATGTAGCATCTATTTATAATAGAAACACGGAAAAACATAAATGGGAAACTTTCTTAACTTCAGTTAAAGCATCTACAAAATGTATAACTTATATTATACTGAATTGTAAAAATTAATCGTTCCCCCTAAGATCAAGAACAAGGAAATGACCTCTGCAGTCACTATTCTTTTCAATAGTTTGTTGGAAAATCTAGCCAGCATAATTGAATAGCAAAGGAAATAAAAGGCATGTAGATTGAAAATTAAAAAATATAACTATTCCTATTTTCAAGTGACATGATTGCCTAGAACTAAGTGCATTCAGTAAGATTGCAAAATACAAGACAAACATACAAAAACTTGTATTTCTATAACTAGCAAAGAGCATGTGAGCATTGGAAATAAAAATACAATGCCATTTATAATCACTCAAAAACAATAAAATACTTAAGTGTAAATATACTAAAACGTGTGCAAAACTTGTATACTGACTACTACATAATACTTATGAAGAAATCGAAGAAAAGGTATAACTCTTCCCAAGTTGACACACAGCTTTCATGCAATTTCTTTTAAATTCCCAGCAAAATCTTTGTAGATATAAACAAGATTATTTAAAAATCTATTTGGAAAGGCCAGGAAATTGGAATAAATGGACAATCTTGAAAAGGAAGACAAATTGGGAAGACTCATTCTGTATAATCCCATGCCTAATGATGGAGTGATAATGGTTAAGACTGTGTGGAACGGTGGAGGAACAGACATATGTATACCAATGGAGCAAAACAGGGAAACTACAGGGAGAACTTCACAATCATGCCTGACTGACTTTTCATGCAACATCAATTCAATGAAGAAAAGATAGCCACTTCAATAAATTATCTTGGCGCAAGTGAACGTTTATAAGTAAAAAAATGAACATTGATGTAGTCTTACACAATATACACACATTAACTCAAAATGGGTCACAGGCATAAATGTAAAATGTTAAAACTTTTAAACAAACATAGATAAATATCTTCAGGATCCAGGGCTAAGCAAATAACTGTTCAACTTTAAACCAAAATGTATAATTTAGGGGCTGGGGACAGTGGCTCATGCTTGTAATCCCAGCACTGTGGGAGGCCGAGGCAGCGGATCACCTGAGGTCAGGAGTTCGAGACTAGCCTGGCCAACATGGTGAAACCCTGTCTACTAAAAATACAAAAATTAGCCAGGCCTGGTGGCACATGCTGGTAATCCCAGCTACTCAGGAAGCTGAGGCAGGAGAATCGCTTGAGCCTGGGAGGTGGAGGTTAAAGTGAGCCGAGGTCGCTCCATTGCACTCCAGCCTGGGTGACAAGAGCAAAACTCTTGTCTCAAAAAAAAATATATATATATGCATATATAATATAATATTTATATAATATATATTACATATGATTTAGGAAAATAAAAATGTATAAATTCAACTGGGTAAAAATTAAAAACTTTAGCACTGAAAAAGATGTATTAAGAAAATGAAAATTTAATCTACAGACTGAGAGAAAAAATATTTGCAAAGTATGTGTCTGAAAAATTGTATCTAGAATATGTCATTACCTTTCAAAAAGTAATAATATATGAATAATCATTTCACTGAAGACATATACAGATGGCAAATAAGCACAGAAAAAATATTCAACATTACTAGCTACCAGGGCAATGGAAATGAAAACCAGAATGATAGTTCACTACAAACCTATTATAATAGCTAAAATAAAAGAAATAGCAGGCCGGGCGCGGTGGCTCACGCCTGTAATCCCAGCACTTTGGGAGGCCGAGGCGGGCGGATCACGAGGTCAGGAGATCGAGACCATCCTGGCTAACACGGTGAAACCCCGTCTCTACTAAAAATACAAAAAAATTAGCCGGGCGAGGTGGCGGGCGCCTGTAGTCCCAGCTACTCGGGAGGCTGAGGCAGGAGAATGGCGTGAACCCGGGAGGCGGAGCTTGCAGTGAGCCGAGATTGCGCCACTGCACTCCAGCCTGGGCGACAGCGAGATTCCGTCTCAAAAAAAAAAAAAAAAAAAAAAAAAAGAAATAGCAACAATATTAAATGCTGGCAAGAGTTCAGAAAAATCAGATCACTCATACATTGCTGGTAGGAATATAAAATGGTACAGCTGCCCTAGAAATAGTTAGGAAGTGTCTTAGACAATTATACATCCAAATACTGTATGACCCATAAATTGTATTTATGGTCTTTCACCATAGAGAAATTAACTCATATTCACACAAAAACCTGAACCAAATGTTTTGTTCATAATAACCCCAGATATTCTTCAATGGGTAAATGGTCAAGTAGGCTGTGATACCCTGAATAGCCATGACAGTCATACCATAAATACTAGTCAGCCTTGAAAAGGAGCAAACAATTGACAAATTTTATGAGCTGGATGAATCTCCAGAGAATTATACTGAGTGACAAAAGCCAATATCAAAAGCTGTGGATTGTAAGGTTTCATGTATATAACAGTCTTCCAATGACCACATTATTGGAATTAAAAACATATTGGCATTTTTTCTGAGAGTTAAGGAGGAGGTGGGGGCCAGGGGAAAATGGAAGCGGCTCTCAGAGGCTACATGGGGGGGGTCCTGTGGTGATAGAAATGTTCTACAGCTTGACTGTGTTGATATCAATGTCCTGGCTACGGTATTGCACTATATTTGTGCAAGACGTTCCTGTTGGGAGAAATAATTGAAAGAGTACATGGGACCTCTCTCTGTGATTACTTACAACTATATATTTATTACGATTATCTCCAAATTAAAAAGTTTAAGTGAAAAAAAAGAGAAGAATGAGGAAAGTCTCAATACCCTGCAGTGATCTCCAAGATTTTGGGTTTTATAAAAATATAAAAGTTTAAAAAGTATGCATAGCTGAGTTAGGGATTGGGAAAAAGGAATAGTTGGAACACAGAGGATTTTAGCGCAGTGAAACCATTCTGTATGATATTATAGTGGTGGATACATGTCATTATACATTTATCCAAACTCATGTAATGTACAACACCAAGAGTGAACCCTAATGTAAACTATGAATTTTGGGTAATAATGACATGTCAATGTGGGTTCATGCGTTGTAACACATGGACCATGCTGGTGGAGGATGTTCACAGTAAGAGATGTGCATGTTTGGGGGTAGAGGGTATATGGGAACTCTCTTGTAAACCTAAAACTCCTTTAAGAAATATAGTTTATTTAAAAAAATAATGAAATGAACAGACAAAAAACAATATCATTTAATCCAAACATGTCTGTGGGCCAAAAATGGCTCCTAAGAAGCTGTTCAGACTTCTGATATGGTCTTTTCAGCCACACCAGAATTATGAGACATAGAGAAAAAGATCAAATTCCCCAGATTATAAAAATATGAAAAGGAAGTGGCCGAACTGCAACTCTAGCCTCCTGCTTTCTAGGTGTGAACACCTCCCTCAGATGTTATCATCCCTGAGAAAATCTGCAGATAAAAATGTTATTCATTCTCGGTCACTTGTTTTTATACTAATGATAAAGCTCATTACCTGTTATTTTCCCTCAGTTTAAAGGTGCTTTCACAGTTCAAAGTAATATTATTTGACAGATAGAATGCATAATGGTAATTGGTGAATTCAATAAATATGCACTGTGGGCTGTACATTTTGTTGTTTACTGGTTAAAAGAAAGTAAATAAGAAACAGCTTGCCTTTAAAAATCCACATTTTAATGGTGGGAAAGTATATAAGCTAATATTATAATATTACCAAGTGAAAAATTCTAATTGCATGAATTGCAATATTTACTGTAAATAAGTACCTGTTACATGAATCATGATTAAGCATCTAACCCTTTAGGAGACATCAAGGATTCCCCCACTCCTTGAAGCTCAGACTTGTAAGGTATGTTTACATCTGTAAATGGCCCAAGTGTAACTCCCTGAAGGAACTGAGGAAATAGAAAATGATTGAAACTGCAGCCCTTGGAGGCAAGGAAATATGAATATGAATCCTACAGTTCTCATTTACCAGAAGCAAAGCTTTGGGTATATCACTTAGAGTCCCTAGACTTCATTTGACTCATCAGTACAATAGGACTTTAATATCTGTCTTCCAATGTGGTACTGAGTGTCAGATATAGCATGATAAGACACTTAATAAAGGGGCTCAGACTGGATGTTCGTAAAGACCAATACTCTAAAGTCTCAAAAACAGGTATGTGCCTGGTTAGAAAACTGGGAGTTCGGTGCATTGAGCTCTGCCACTTTGTTTTTTTATATGTCTGTTATTAACTTGTGGATCTTAAAGATTGATATAGGCTAAGCATGGTGGCACATACCTGTAATGCCAGCACTTTGGGAGGTCAGGGCAGGAGGATCACTTGAGCCAGGAGTTGGCGACCAGCCTGGGAATCATGGTGAAACCCTGTCTCTAAAAAGTAAGAAGAAATTAGCTGGACTTGGTGGTGTCCACCTGTAGTCCCAGCTGCTTGGGAGGTAGAGGAGGAAGGATTGCTTGAGTCCAGAAATTCGAGGCTTCAGTGAGCTGGGATTGTGCCACTGCACTCCAGCCTGGGTGACGGAGCGAAACCCTGTCTCAAAAAAGATAAATAAATAATATAAATGTGCTTGTTGCCTAATATTTGATAGTGTAACATAGAAAAGACATTGTTTGCAGTTTAAAATGCTTGACTCAACAAAAATTAAGCATGTCTTCTTTCTAGGATCCCTGTAAAATTGAAGTAAAACCCAATTTTTAGAAAGTAGTATCCCACAAGGTCCACGATTATATGAGAGGAGATAATAGTGTAGCATACAAGAAATTTCAGCCAGTTTCAAAGAGCAAAAGTTGGAAAGGAAGTTATAACACAGTGACTTCTAGAAATATTCTCTTAAAATATGAAGCAATTTCTCCTGAAAGCACTCCAGAAGAAAATCAAATGCCCTGGCATATGGGGTGCTATTGAAACATGTGTTTGGAAAGTGGAGTGGAGAGCGGTCATTATCTATCTGTTGTAATTCTCTGCACAGAATACGTGGACCCCCGTGTTTCCAGACCCAGTCTTCACAGCCAGCATGTAGCTCAGCCATTTCCTAATGCACCCTTAGAAATTATATTAGGGGTTCTTTTCTGGAAAAGTAAAATGCTCCAGTGAAAAGATCTTGAGATGCTGATATTTAGAGACTCACAAAGAAAGAGGATCTACTAGTGTGAGAGGCTTTTATTTAAGCCACCAGGAGAAGGCCTGATCTGTCTTATGGTGTCCAAGGGTTTATTAGACTATTGGATGCTATTAGAGTCCAGTAAGTCAAGAGCTGATTTTAAAAGGGCACAAAATTATCTTGCTGTGAATGGAATGGCTTTCCTTCAGAATCCTGGGGGTTTGCATTGTGATTTCTCCACTTGGATTTGCCACAAGCTCCATATTCCTTTTCCTATAGCTTTTCCCTTTTTCCACTTTTTCCCATCACTGACGCTTCCAACTCCACAGGATCTGCTGGTCACCCAGCTGTAGTGTCAGGGATGATTGTACTGTGCCTTATGCCTGCTGCCATGCCCTTTTTGTTGTGAGCCTTACTCAGAGATGTCAGCTTTCTGTGTCACCGGGTGACAATATATCTGGAACAATATTCCTAGATGTGGAATGTCTTGATTTTAGAAGTCAAAGAGGCCATCCAGGTGCCATGCTACCTACTTTATGGTAGGTGATGCAAGATGCAGGTGACATTTTGGAAGGAGTATCCTGTCAAGACTCCTGAACTTGACCACTAAAACCTTTACTGAATATTCCTGCAATCTATCTCCCATCCTCTGGAGCATCTTCAGTCTCCTAGCTAATGCTTGCTCCACCTGTCCATTCACCATGACACAATCAAATGAAGTGGATCAGTGTAACACGCTGTGAGGTGGTCCAGATGTTATTTGGATATCATAACAGAGGGTGGGTGAAGTAATGTAACCTTGAGGCAGTACTGTACATTAATCTTGCTGTCTGTCCATATGAATACAAACTGTTTCCAATACTGTTTTCTAGTTGCAATGGAAAAGACTGCATTATCAGATCATGGCCACATGCCATGTACCTGAGGCCTTGTTCGTCACTCCAGCTCTGATACAATGTCTAGCACAGTAAGCGCAGCCACTCCTTGATGACAGATGTGGAGGTGGAGGTCTATAGTCATTCTCCAGGACCTGCTCCATTTCTGTAGGGGCCAGAATGGTGAAATAAACATTCAGAAAATTGCTAGATTAGATAGAAACTAATATCACAAAATATTTGAAAATGTGGGGATCCTTTTGCTCTTCTTTGCTGAAGGCTTGACTGGAGCTGGAAGATCCACTTCTGTGTGGTTTACTACTCAGATCAGACTCATTTTTGGCAGCTGGGATTATTTCCTCTGGAAGTCAACCTCTTCATGCCATGACAGCTGGCTTCCCCCACAGAGAGTGGTGAAAGAAAGAAACAGAGATGCAAGGAGGGAGTTACAGCCTCTTATGACTCAGTCTCAGAAGTCACAATGCCACTTTCACTTTTTCCACATTCTGTTCATTAGAAATGAGTTTCATCAGAATGAGGAAAGAAAATGCACAAACCCCCGCTGTGAATTACCAGGTGTCCTGGATGTGTCAGAATTTGATATGCCTGTTGTAACAACCTCAGGGGAAGGAATTCGGCTCCTCAAACTTTTGATGTTATGATTGTCAAAGGACTGTGGTGCATTTCCAAACCACCACACACACTAACAGTGTAAAATTTCAAATGAAGCTTCAGACCTCTGGACTTAGAATACAGGTCTCTCCACTCACCAAGAAGAGCATTACCAGGAGACACCCTCCCTCACACTGTGTGGATTTACCTTGGCTTAAGTGTGCTGAAGGAAAAAAATAAACAATAATGAAATAATTCATTCTACTTGAAAGTGCCCATCAAGAGTTTCTGGAAAGACGTTCATTTACCTGAACAGCTTATACACCAGAAAGAAATTTGTTGCCTGTTCTCTCTGTAAGTTTGTGTGTGCAGGTTCTAGATTTACTACCACAAATATTGCCAATGGAATTTAAGGGAAACCAACATATATGAAGAAAAATAAAACTCTACAACCTTAAGGGTCCTTCAGTATTGATATACTGTCTTAGGAAAGATATCTCAAACTGTGTGCCAAAAGATAGTAATATGTATCAAAATGGAGTGAAAAATCTCATTTAAATGGTTTACCAATAGATTCTGTAACAAAACAAAACATTTTATTAGCGTTTTTAAGTGAATGACTTATCATAGATTTTTATATTTTGATTGAATTTTAAATTTTCATCAACACAATAAACAACTTATATTCTATAAAATGCCTTTGACTCTGGAATCCTATTTTGCAGGACACTTATTAATGCACTTGGAGAAATTCTAGTTTGAGTATGAGACAACCTTGAATTCGAAAACACTTTACAGTTTAAGTACCTCTTTGTGGACTTGGCATGTGTAGACCCCTGTTGTTTTCACTACTGCAGCTGGCAATTTCTAAACATCTTACCTATTCCAATTACGGGCTGATTCCTGGAGATATTTTAGTGTGCACCCTATAACTTACGTGTTTCAATAAGTGGTGGCTGAATTTAAATATTTCAAGATATCTCATAACCTAATAATTGCAAAATAGTCTCACTTTCAGATAACTTAGAGTTTCATAAATGAGCATGGCAGAGTAAAAAGTAGAAGGAAACCTGGACTCGGAGAGTAAAAGACATGAGCTAGAGAGACCCATTTTTGCTTCTTGTGAGCTTATGATTGCTTCACTTAACTTCCTAAACCTACATTTTCTTTTCTGGGAAACAGGTTAAGTAATCTCCATCCTGCCTGTTTCATCAGGATCAATGGAGATAATGCACAAAAACCATGAACTGCTAAGTGTTCTGTATGTTTCGGAAGTTAGCAGATGCCTGCTGATACAATGTGTTGAATAGTTCTTACGGTTAGACAGCATCATTAATCGAACAAGACGTGAAATACGATTCATAAGCGGATAGAGAACTTTGCTTTCCACGTGGCCCACACACCCGTGGCAAACAATTTCTTCAGCAGCGTCTCTGTCTTAAAGTATTGAAGGATGTGTCAGTGGATTTTGTGAAATAAGCCAAGAATTAAATGCCTTCTGCTGTGGCTGAATTTTGGTATTAGGCTTCTCTTTTGATTGGATCAAGGGATGATGAGTATCTCTGTAGAGAACAATGAATAAATCACACACCATTCAATAACTGCCAATTCTATCCAGATGCCTCGCTTTCAGATATGTCAGCTAACAAAAGAAGAAAAGTCAATGCTATATTTATTAATTCTGATTTCTTTCTCAGAAGACATCTGAAATATGGCTTAGATTTCTGGTAGAAAATATATCTAGATAGAGCTAGCTAGCTAGTTAGCTAGATATAAATATAGAAAGACATTTTAAATAAATAAATGAAGGATTCTTATCATTTAAAGAAATACAACAATATCCTCTGGAGTTAGAGACACCTAAGATTGAATCTCAAATTTACCACTTATTAGCATTATATCCTAAGATAAACAATTTAACATTTTGAACCTCAGTGTCCTTAAAGTATAAAATTGGTTGCAGTAATACTACCTACTCATAAGGTTATTGTGAAAATTGAATGGGATAAAACATATGAATTGCCTGGCGCCATACCTAACATACAGAAAACCCGCAGGTACTGTTAACAATTATTAGTAGTAGAAGTGCAGTGTTGTATGCGTTGATAATTAAAACAGTATCATTTGCCTTCAAAGATATGTCAGACTGTGGGATACCAAGATAGGAGGAAGGATGACCAAATGTATTTTAAGGTGTAATGTGATATGCTGCAGTTAAGGCACCGTGGTACAGTGAATGAAAGATATGGTGATTCTGAGAAGAGAATCAGAGAAGCCTCCCAGTGAAGATAACATTGCTGATGTGCGTTCAATGAAAAGGAAGATTTCAACAAGTGTCTCTGTATAATTTAGGCTTATTTCCAATGTGTCATTTTATAAACAGCATGAAATATGGATTCAGACAGTTGTGGATTACCTTGAGAAATATTTGTTTTTATTATTCTGCAGATGTCTATTAAGTCAGACACTTGGGTAGCCACAAGGAATAAAACAGTAAATGGAATGTTATTCGTGACCTACCAGGAGGCTGTAATCTAGGGAAGGAAAAAGGCCAATAACCATAGGTGGATAAGTGTAGGGGGACCATATATCACCAAAAACAGGTACTTCTGAGTATGGAAGTGGGTAACTATCAATAATTCCACCAGCACTTAAAGCATATACCAAGTTTGTTCTCAGCAAACTGGAACTCACTGTAAACCTAGGCAAATGATTTGAGATCTCTGTAAGTACTACAGGAAGACAATGATAGAACCAACTCAGTGTGGGCAGTGGGCAGGCAAAAAAACTGAGGAAGTTTGTACCGCGTTTTAACAACTAGGAGTTCACGAGGCAGGAAAGAAATGGAGTCCAGCCTATGGAATGACACAAAGTTATGAAACCCAGTGGTGTGTGTCAGGATCCACAGACAGGTTCATGTGACTAAAATGTATAATTAAAGGGAATTGGCAAGACATCAAAATAAGATACTTAGCAAAAATAAAATAAAGCAAAAAACTTGAAGAACTAAAGCAAACATTGTTAATAATACAAAGCTAGTAAAGGCAAATCTCTCGTTGACGCCTGAAACAATTCAAAGGGCTGGCTAACTGCACTTCTCAACATTATCTTTACATCTGTGCGCGACAGCTTAGAACTCACTGCTGTGGGGTATTGAGTAAAACATAAGGTTGGTGCCTGCTATAGCTTGAATGCGTGCCCCAAAGTTTATGTGTTAGAAATTTAACCCCCAATGCAACATTGCTGAGAGATGGGAATTTTAAGAAATGATTATTTCACAGTGGTTCTGTCCTCATTAATGGACAAGTGGCATTATCTTGGGAATGGATTAATTATCACAGGAGTGGAGGCCTGATATAAAAAGACAAGTGTTTCTACCTTTGTCTCTTGCTCTCTCACATGCTCTTTTCCCCTTCCATCTTCCACCATGCAGTGGTGCAGCAAGAAGGTCTTTCCCAGATGCCGGAACCTTGATATTGGACTTCACAGCTTTCAGAGCTGTGGGAAATAAATTTCTTTTCTTTATAAATTATTTGGTCTGTGATATTCTGTTACAGTAACACAAAGACTAAGACAGTGGTTATTCTGTTGTTTGTTTGGCTTTTATTTATTTATTTATTTATTTATTTATTTATTTTACCTCCCATGGCATTTGGCAGATTCTGGAAAACCCCAAAGGCTCATATTACACTTCCTTCTCAGTAGTAATGAAATTGCACAAGACTGCTAAGCTCCTCTCCGCATGTACATTTTTAGGTAGCTGAAATGGCATGCAGATTTACCTTGTGTTACTTCTTCACAACAGCGAAGATACCGATGTGTCCTCTGAGAACTGAGAAAGAAACATCTAGTCAGCAATATGCAAGGCTCCAGATAAGAAGTCTGGAAAGAGAAGTTTATTAAAGGAGAAAAAAGTCAAGAAACAAAAAAGAATAGAAAAATCAGCAACTTCTAAAGAAACTTTTGCTTTTCTTTTCTCTGCAGGGGCTTCCCCAACTCTTGGAAAGTTCAAAAGTATATTGATTCTGTCTTTCTGTCCAGAGAATCTCCATGTAGTTCTAAGGCTGAAAATCAGACTCAACTCAACTACAGGGAAAAATAATGATAGTATTTAACCAGTTTGAAACTTAGCATATTCATATGTAATTTGGGTCTAATTAAGTGCATGCTACAGATTTGATTTCTGGATTATCTGAAATAACATATATAAAGCAGTTGATAAAATACATGGTATACTTAGTATGTGCTTAAGGCATTTATTTGATTCTCTTATGGCCTGTCCTGTTAGCAGTTTATAATTGAGGCTTGTGCATCCACCTCCAAGAATATAGAGAACTTGATGGTCCCTCATGAAAATGTTTTTGATAAAAACTGACTGTCTTGTTTTCAATAAGACAGATGTGGAGATTATTACAAGATGCTTAGAGAGGCAACTTTGTGTCACAGAAATTCACACTGACCTATTACTTAAAAGTTCTGGGTTTAGGTCTTGGCTCTTCTGCTAAATAATTTGGGGTCATAGGTAAGATCTCATCTTTCGAATTCTCAGATTCTTCATCTATAAAATGAACATATTTCATTGGAACGGAATTTTCAAAAATGTTTGTCAAAGTCTGCTACATAAGTTAAATAATTTTGGAAAGTATTAAAGAAGTTTATTTTGGCTGGGCATGGTGGCTCACGCCTGTAATCCCAGAACTTTGGGAGGCCGAGGAGGGTGGATCACGAAGTCAGGAGATCAAGACCATCCTGGCTAACACGGTGAAACCCCGTCTCTACTAAAAATACAAAAAAAGAAATTATCCGGGCATGGTGGCGGGCGCCTGTAGTCCCAGCTACTCAGGAGGCTGAGGCAGGAGAATGGCATTAACCTGGGAGGCGGAGCTTGCAGTGAGCCGAGATCATGCCACTGCACTCCAGCCTGGGTGGCAGAGCGAGACTCCGTTTCAAAAAAAAAAAAAAAAATAGAAGTTTATTTCGTGTTGGACTTGTAAAAGCATTTAAAATGTATTGCTGCATACTCTCATTCTTCAGGAGAAATATCTATTATGAGCACCCCAGTAAATTTCATTGCATAATTCTCTATCACCAACCCCCACCCCATTTTGAGAGTATCTTGAAACAACTGGTAGATACTTTTGGAATTGCCGGATGGAAAACCTCCAAAGGCTGACATGAAGGCTATGAGTGATACAGTGAGAAGACCATGTGACCTGCATATTTTTTTCTTCGGAATTGTCTATTATACCTAACACTGTTTTTTGAATTTCTTTGAAGATCAGTTTATTCATGTGGTTAGAGTCCTACCACATCATGTTACTCACTCTTGAGTTTTGCAGTATGGAGAGGATGTTTATGTTGAGTACGTGGAGCAGGAACTCCAGTTTAGCGTCAGCCTAGAGAGGTGGCTCAACAAGGGAACGGGAGTGGTATACTGATAAAGGCCTGGGTCTCTGTCTCTGAGTCACACAGACTGGGGATGAAATCCTGAACCTATTAATCTTTTCAGCTAATTTTCTTCTCCATCTTATAGCGTTATTGTGAGAATTATTAATAAATAGAGTATAACTCGTCATGAGAAGGCAGGCCATGTTGCACTTTACAAACAGCTCCTAAGCATAGTTAATCTTCATTTTGTGGATTCTGTATTTGTGAATTGGCCTACTTGCTAAAATTTATTTATAGCCTAAAATCAATAGCGTGTTTTAGTGTTCATTCATAGACATGCATGGGACAACAAAAGAATGGAGTCACCCAATGAGCACATTTCCGACTAAAGTCTATCAAGGCCATGCTCTGTCTTGTTTCAGCTCTGACACTGTAAACAGTGCCATTTTCACTGTCTGTGTAGCGTTGCTGTTTTTGCATTTTTTTATATTTTTGGCTTTGTCATTTCACTTTTAAAAAATGACCCCCCCAGTATAGTGCCGTACTGTTACCTAGTGTTTCTAATTTCAAGAGGGGTATGGTGTGTGTTATGGAGAAAATATGAGTCTTAGATAAGCTTTGTTCAGGCATGATTTATAGTGCTGCTGGCTATGAGTTCAACATTAATGAATCTACCATATATTTAAATAGAGTGTCTTTAAACAAAATTACACAGGAAACAAGGTTACGTATTGATCAGTATAAAGATGTTGTGAGCAGGGGCTTGCAGACACCTAACCATGTATTTCCCCTAGGAACAATGGTTCAATATTCACTAATTCAGTGTTTATGGTGACTTTTTAGGACATAATTACCATGAATAATGAGAACAAACTATCTTAAATAGAGATTGTTTTGTGCTCATATTTTATGAGAGTGGCTGTGGCTGACAGAACTCTGATATTAAAAATGCTATAGGTCCCATGACTGAGGAAAAGAGAAATCTTGATAGTACCAGATTACTAATTGAAATACTCAGTGGGGGCCGGGCACAGTGGCTCATGCCTGTAATCCCAGCACTTTGGGAGGCCGAGGTGGGTGGATCACGAGGTCAGGAGATCGAGACCATCCTGGCTAACACGGTGAAACCCCGTCTCTACTAAAAATACAAAAAAAATTAGCTGGGCATGGTGGCAGGCGCCTGTGGTCCCAGCTACTCAGGAGGCTGAGGTAGAAGAATGGCGTGAACCCGGGAAGCGGAGCTTGCAGTGAGCCGAGATCGCGCCACTGCACTCCAGCCTGGGCGACAGAGCAAGACTCCATCTAAAAAAAAAAAAAAAAAAAAAAAAAAAAAGAAATGCTCAGTGGGGAAACTGGCTACACCCAAACCCAAAGGTATCTGAAAGTATAATTCAGTTATGGGCTCTAAAGTGCTAACCATTGTAAGTATTCAACAGGCAACACTAACATGTGCTGGGCCTAGGACACTCAGGATATCGTGTTCACTTAAGGCATAGCTCTTGCTGTTTGGCTTGGAGAGTAGGGCCTGGGAAGAGTAAGTCAAGTGGGAGAAAAGAGAATCTCGAGCTGATAACATGCTCAAAGCTTGGAGCTAACCATGGCTCCCCTCTGTGTGTCTTGTACCTCATGGCCAATCCAAAAAGGCACTCTCACATACAGAGAGGCAACAAACAAAGAGGCAGATATAGAGATACAAACATACAAAATGAACAAGTGCATTTATAGTTAGAAAACTATCAAATGTTTTAAAATGAAAAATGAATCAATACTACAGGTGGTCATATTGTTGTATTCAAAATATTTTTATTCTCATGTTTAATGAATTTATTTTTTCTTAAAATGTTAAAATGCAAGGATTAATTATATGAAATACATAAAGGATGACTTATTTTTCTAATCAAATGTCTAACCTAATTAAAAAAAAAAAGAAATGTGCTTTAAAGAATGGCAGCTCTAATTAGGGACAAAAGAAGAAGATGAAAAAAGAGGAGGAGTTGGAGGAGGAAAAGGAGAAGAAAGAAAAAGTGGAGGGAAAAGAGGAGGAAGAGGATTAATAGAATGATGTTTAATATGTAGCATTCAATGCATAAAACAGGAATATATATATATATAATTTAATCTATTACTCAAAACGCCAACATAAACTTCTAGGGAGGGATGGAGTCATGAGCAGACCCAGCCTCTGTGTACTCCACTATTAACCTACAATTCTTTCAAAATGTTTGAACTCAATTTAATCTATTCATCATACTTTATTTTTTAATTGAGAGTCCTAATTTTTATACCTTTTTATTTAGATTTTTCTGTATATATAACTGTGTTACAATGTACAGAATTTTAATTTAGGATGAACAGCATAGAACAGCTATTTCTGCATATGTCTTATAGGTAGGTTAACGCATATACTTTTGGGGTTGTCAGCGTTCAAGACACTTCTCCTTTCTCTCTGGAAACCACGATGGCATTGTTTTATGAACCTTACAGGGAAAATGGAGCCTTTTAATTTTATTTACATTTTATTTTCACCCCAATTGATAAACCTCGATTTGATCAACCAGCTGTTATCTGAATAATTTTCAAATGATTCAATAATCCAAAGTTGTCCGTGGAGAGTATCACCTCTTGGTGTGGGACACCTGGATGCTACTGTGTGTATTGTGCTCCTTGGGGATTTTTTTTTTTTCTTGAGTCGGAATCTTGCTGTCACCCAGGCTGGAGTGCAGTGGCCCAATCTCGGTTCACTGCAACTTCTGCCTCACGGGTTCAAGCAATTCTCCTGTCTCAGCCTCACAATTACAGGCACACGCCATCATGCCCGGCTAATTTTTGTATTTTTAGTAGAGACAGGGTTTCACCATGTTGGCCAGCCTGGTCTCAAACCTCTGACCTCTGGTGATCTGCCCTCCTTGGCCTCCCAAAGTGCTGGGATTACAGACGCAAGTCACCGCATCCGGCCCTGAGGATCAATTTTTATAAGAGAATTTCTCCTGTTATACTTCTCCCTCTTTGCTAGCCTCTATAGGGTCCTATGTGGTAGGACAGCGATTTTCTAGAAGATTCTAACCATAGTAAAATACCACTTTTAATATAACTCAATAATATATGAAAGAAAGGGAAATTTCTGAAGTAAAGAAGTGATAGTGGCGATGCAGAAAAGTAGGTTTTTAAGTTTTAAAGAGTAGGATCCACAGGAATTAGGGAAGATTATAGCATATATGGCTTTTAGCTATTCATAACAGAAGCTAAATCGAGCTAGGGGAAAATATTTAAGGAAGCAAGCAATGTTGAATTCAATTTTGGGTCACATTTCTCAAATTTTATAAACTCCATATGAAAACGCTTGGAATATTTCCACAGATAAGATACGAAAATCAGTTAGTTCTGTCTTCCTCACGTAAATCAGCATCTTTCAGCTGGCGTCTCTCACTGCGGGCTTCTCATTGATGACTCCAGGGAAAGTTGAAATTGACCTGTTATTTAAAAAAAAAAAAGTTTCACAATAGAGCCAAAACTCTCAAGTCATTGCTTAGTGCATGCCCTTTTCCCCTAAATTTTGAGTGCTTGGGACATCTATGTTTTGTTATGAGAAGGAAGAGCTGAAAAGTCAGGGACTTTTACTAACTTGAGACAGTCCCAGAAGTGAAAATTATGGCACAATCACATGCAGGCACTAGAAGGTTTTCCCTGGTGTATTAATGCAGGGGCTGATGCACAGAGACTCTGGAGGAAGAGCGAACAGAAAAGGCCCACAAGCTATACCACAGGTACTGTGATCCTGTGCCCTTTGCATTCGACTGTCCTGGTTCCAGTATGGCAAGAGGCATTAATAGCATCTTTTTAAACAAGGACCTTCAGATCACACAGAGTGAACAGCTAGACTTTGATATTGTACACCCTTGATCTTCAGGGGATGATAATGCCAGAGTTAAATAAGCTTCCCATTCCCCAACCCAAAACAGCATGGGTGAAGAGACTTTTAAAAAGGAAGGTGTCTTTTTGAAAGTGCATAATATGCAGGCGCTCAAGTGATTCTCTTTTATGTGTCTGAGGAGCTTTCTGATATCATTAACACACTCTGGTTTAGATATTGGTCTGGAATTAAATGCTTCTCCCAGAATCCTCTTTTTTTGCAGTCCGTCACTTCACTTACAGGGCAACAGGAAAAGAAGGAAACATAAATATGCTTAGAGTCTGTAGTGAACAAGGTATTCATTTCTCAAATCTCTTTCTTACATGACTTCTCACTTAATGCCTTAAAACTGCCTTATAAGAAATTCAGCTAAGTTGGTAGAATAGATCATTTGTAATCAGAGACTCATAGATTCAAGTCTCCTTTCAGTGGATGTTTCCTTTTATAGGCACTGTAACACAGCGGCCAAGAGCACCGATGGCAGAGCCAGATAGCCTGGCCTTGAACGCTGGCTCTACCTTTTACAGCTGTGCCATCTTATACAAGTTGCTCATTTTTTCTGTAATTCACTTCTCTCATCTGTAAAATAGAGTTGGTGCTATTAACCTATCTAATAGGATTGCTACATAATTTAAATGAGTAAATACATGTAAAGTGATTATAACAGTGCCTAGCAAATAGAAAGCTCACAGAAACTGTTGCTATGATTACTATTTAGTTCTATTTGATATATAGGGAAACATAACGTCTCAAAGAAGAGTCATAGCTAGCCTGAGGTCATAGAGTTAGTAGGAATTGGATGAGCCAAGATTCAGAGCTAGATCTAACAGAGTGTGCCCACTACCAAATTAAAAAGAAGGAAAATATACAAACAAAAATAAAACCAGCTGCTTTTCTTCTCCCTGGTAGCTAAATTGAGTTTTGAAACCATGCCAACTGTAAAATGCTGAGGTTCACTAAACACTTATCCAATTTAAACTTATTAGCAGAATTAGTTGTCTATGACTTCAATAGGAAGTGATTATTAAACCCATAATTAATGAGACATAACACCCTGTATTTAAAATGTAAAGACATCTATGGCACTGAAAGTTAGAGGAGCATCTGGCTGCCTTCTGGGGATGAACGACTGACACCTCAAACTTATTAAAAATGTGGAGTGGTCGTGGGCCACCACTGATCAGCAATAGGAAAGACTGATGGACGTTGATGTTCCTGACACACTAAGAGCTGGCCCCTGCCTTAATCAGATATCCTATTGTTTTCAGGTTCAACCAACCATGCTCTCTTTAAAAAATGTCCTGGGACAAAGAGATACTAAAATTTAAAATATGAATAGTAGCATAAGTAAACCTTTACTGAACAACATAGTATTTTATTTGTACTGTAACATTTACTGCATGTAACAGCCCACCATGGATATTTGTTAACTATTATAATTTTACAAATATATAAAATAAGAATTAGAAAGAAGGTATAATTGCCCTGTGGCTATTCATAGTAAGTGACAGCTGGCAGTATAACCAATGCATAACTTACAATAAAATGCCTCTCTTAACCACTCCCTCATTCTGCTTCTGAGAACTAAGCTTTCAGACTTTAGAGAATGTTGATGGCCAGTTTAAAGATACATGTGAACAAAACCACAGCGAAGCTGCTGAGGCTCAAAGTAGAGCGATGACTTACTAATAACTTAATTATTCAGTAAACAAACATTTACTGAACAAATATATACTAGATATTATTCAGGTGATGAATATAAGTGCAATGAATGAGACAGAATCCCAGCTGTCAGGAACTTGGCTTCAAGTGGAAGGAGGCAGACTATGAATGAATAAATGGAGAGATAATTTTAGATGCTGATACTTTTTTGGAAGTAAATTTAATGCTGGTTTAAGAGTAACTGCCAGGTAACCTTGGACCAGGTGCCCAGAGAAGGTGACATTTAATTTCAGAGATCTGAATGGCAAAAATAAACCAGTAGAGATGGGAGAAGATAATTACAGAGAGAGGCACAAGCTTGTACACAGGGATTGGCAGAGAATGGAATACTAAGAGCTCCAATTCTGTGTCCAAATAAAAAACCCAGTGTTGTACATTGCCAAGAGGTAGGTGATCACCACATAAAAAGCGAAGGACAAGTAGGCTTCTTATTCTTACTCTGTGAATTTAACTGGTGCATATGAAAACTGAGAACCACCTTATATAAAATATGAGAAGCTCATCCTCTGATCTCAAACTATATTATAAAGCTATAGCAATCAAAAGAGTAAGGTACTGACATGAAAACATGTATATAGACCAATAGAATAGAATAGACAGCCCAGAAATAAACTCCCATAATATGACCAACTAATTTTTAACAAAAGTGCCAACAATACACAACAGGGAAAGGAAAGTCTCTGCAATAAATGGTGTTGGAAAAACTGGATATCCATATGCAAAAGAAAGAAGTTAGATCCTTACTTAACATCATATACTAAAATTAACTCAAAATGGGTTAAAGACTTAAATGTAAGATCTAAAACCATAAAACTCCTAGATGAAAACGTAGGTTAAAAGTTCCTTGACATAATTTGGTATATCATATATAGATATTTTTCCTTAATGCATGTTTTTTAAATGGGTTTATCCTATTTTATCCTATTCCTATTCTGATATTGTGTACACTTGTGTGTTTGTGTGCATGCTTGAATGTATGCACACTTACACGGGCAGTAAAGATGGCTGATCTTTATAGTGCAACTTTATAGTTCATCATTTTCTAAAGCAGGAGGAACCACATCTGGACATAATAGAGACTCGGTCTTCATCCAAAAATTCCAGTCATTTAGTTGGCTATGGCAACTTGGTGGGATGCTGAGCCATCTTTTTTAAGGAAGCATGATCTCATGTTTTATGTTTAAGAAGACAGATGCAAATGAATACTTGGTGAACATAAATCTATACTGTAACAGAGATTGCCAGTATCTGACAAAAATAAATTCTTTTTTATAATATGTGTTCTTTATAATAATAAATGCTTTTAAAATGAAGCATTTATTTTTCGGGGCACACAACTAGGCTACATTCTCCAGCCTCCCCTGAATTCAGTTATGGCTTTCTGATTAAATTAGGGCTTCAAAAGATAAACAGTACCAATAGGATCCATTTATAAAACCCTCTGGCTGGATGTGGTGGTGCATGCCTGTAGCACCAGCTACTCTGGAGGCTGAGGTGGGAAGATAGCTTGAGTCCAGGAGGCAGAGGTTGCAGTGAGCCAAGATAACACCACTCCAGCCTGGGCAACAGAGTGACACCTTGTCGTTAAAAAATAAATAAATAAATAAGTAAAATAAAAAATAAAATAAAAATAAAGCCCTCATTCAGGGTCCTCCATGTGCTAATTTGCATCAGCTGGTACTAATACAGGCAACCCCAGGTATCTTTTTGCTTATTAAGAGGCATATATAATCTCTTGCATAAATATGTGATAAAGAAAGAAAACATGGCTGGGTGCAGTGGCTCATGCCTGTAATCCCAACTCCGTGGGACACTTAGTCGGGTGGATCACCTGAGGTCAGGTGTTCGAGATCAGCCTGGCCAACTGGGCGAAACTCCTCCTCTACTAAAAATATAAAAATTAGCAGGGCATGGTGGTGCATGCCGGTAATCCCAGCTACTTGGGAGACTGAACCAAGAGAATCGCTTGAACCCAGGAAGCGGAGGTTGCAGTGAGCAGAGATCATGCCATTGTACTCCAACCTGGCTGACAGCACAACTCCATCTCAAAAAAAAAAAAAAAAAGAAAAGAAAACATAAAACATAAAGAGCAATACAAAATATTATATTATTATCTAGCCATTGGTGAGCTATGTGACTAAGTCACTTCACCTCTCTAAAGTTCAAATTTCTTAAGAGAAAAGGTTAGACTAAGTGCTTGACTGGCCTTTCCACCTACTCTGGGAAACATAACAGTCGTTTCCTCATTCCTCAACCCCAAAGCCGTGTGTCTCATCCAGCTCAAGTCACAAGAGGAGTGCATTGAATGAGTGACTGATGAAAAAGTAAATGAATCAATGCATCTCCTGAAGATCAGATCCTAAAAGAGTGCCAATTTAATACCCACACGCAGATCTTCCTTGAAATTGCCACTGACTGGGATGAGGCGCCTGATGATTAAGGAGACAGGAAAATCAAATAGGAAAAGTAATTTACAATATGATAATACACAATAAATAAAACAATATCTGAAGCAAACTGGGGCAGGAGTAATCTTGCTGGGATTTAACTGAACTGCACCAGATGCCGTTGGCATTGTGAAAGTGCACACTGGTGTCTTCTCATTAAATGAGTTCTGTCTGTCTGTGCCCGCCACTCTCCATGACACATGTGAGGTTCGGATGAAGCGGGGCGGGGTTTGGGGTGGGTGAGGGAGACAGGAAGATGCACAGAGTGTGTTGCGTCTTGAGATGCAGCACAGGATGCTGTTGCGTGGCCCTGCGGCACTCTGTGTCGTTCTCCCAGCTCCTGCTGCACTTACTTGCTCAAGGGGATGCCTGTCTCCTTCCTCTAACTTGTCAGTGTCTCCTTGCTTGGGACTGGCTATGGGTTGTCTTCCTATTACACTTCCCTACACATGTTGATTTTTCTGGCCAGATTTAGAAATGTCCTCTATAAGTTAAAAAGTATAAATAAAAACCTAGGAGAGTCTGATCCAGTACTTCAATTTTGTTCATCTCTAGATATCTTATGTCACCTGGCAGATGAAGAATCACTGGTTTAGCTGGGTGCCTGGCACATATTTGAGCCTAAAACCTTATGGAATGCACATGCTGGCACATGTATGAATGAATGCATCAGTGAATTTGGCATAAGCCACGACTGTAAGCATGTGTAAGATGCTGTCACAATCTGGTCTCAAGCTTTTTTTTATTTTACGTATTAGGCTCCAGTCACATCTGACAGCCAGATGCTCTGGAAATACATCATGGGCATCTCCACCTGAATTCTCCTAACCTGGGCAGATGCATCTCTAGGATGACAAGAGGTGGCATAAACAGTATTAAGAGAGTTCACTACAAGATCTTTTGAATTTCCTCTTTCTTAGTGTTGGTCTGTCCAATAAGGGGCCTCTGAAGCAATCCTGCCTTCCCCACTTTCACAGTTGTTCTTTCATTTCACAGAAGAGCTTGCCTCTTACCTGTCCAGACACTTCCATGGGGCATTGCCCTGGAGGGTAGACATCTCCAAAACATATTGGATTGGTCAAGATATCATCCCTTGAATAAAGACCTTGCTGTCAATTTGGCCCTCCTGCTTATTCGTTAGATGATTTGTAACATGCTTTTTGCTATCTCTGCATTTTCCTAATCTGAAAATAAATGGAAAATCAGAAATTTATTAAGAGGTGATAACAGTTAGTAATAATGGCAGTGTTAATATTGGCAAAGTTATGACTCTTATGGTAACTAATTATTTAGCGAGTCAGATTTCAGTTCTTTCATTTCAACAAGATAACGATTTGAATTGACTTGGCAGCTAAGAGATTAATACAATGATGAGGGAGTACTATGTGATTTGTGACCTATAACTTGATAGGAATTCAAAGAATTGGGAGATATTACTAAAACAAAACCTCCCCCATTTCCATACACTTATTCTTTTGTATGAAAGTTCTCAGTAATGTGAAGCATAAAAACTAAAAATAAAAAAGAAATAAAGCTCAAACTGAACTCATTCTTACACTGAGAGATATTTAAATTTATGAGTAATATATTTCAAAATTGGTGACAACTAATGACATATTCACTAATAAATCACAGTCATATAAATTTTACAAAATCTTTGTAATGATAAAACCTTGAAAATAAATAATTTTAATACTATTTTAAAAGTTGATATTTGTATCATGCAATCTCAGAGATGAAATGCTCATTTGCAATTCCTTTATTGGCCTTTGGAGTAAATGAAGAACATAATATATTGCATATTTTCTATGCCCCAGTGCTGAACAAAACACTTTACAAGTATGATCTCACCTAATATGGAAAACATTTCTTGGGAATGGTAGACTTGAGAAGTAAGGAATTTCAGAAAAGTTAAGTAATTTGCCCAAAGTCACATATACCGAATTTAAACTCAGGTCTATCTAATAAGCAGAAGCTGTACTCCTAAGTCCTTATAAAATATACTACTTAGATAAAAAATAACAACTTTCACAAATTACTCAGAGAAGATTTAGCAGAATAAAAATTCAAGTTGTGTCCTGATTTTTAGCTTGGTGACCCTTCCTTTGTAAGGGGCAGGATGCATGGTGGTTAAAAGCAGGCTTTGATGCCAAACTGCCTGGGTTCAGATCAGGACCCTGACACCTACTAATCATTGCAGCCTTAGGCCTTTCTTTAGTGAAATCCAGTACTGATATTGATACAATGCTGTATTAATGCACTCGATATGATACAACAATCTTAAGAAGATTTATAAAATATCTCAAATATTCAATGTGTGTGTATATCTGTTCTTACAGTGTTACCATGTGTAGATTTGTGTATCCACCACCAGAGTCAAGGTACTGAACAGTTCCATCACCATAAAGATCCTTCATTTTTTCTTTCTTTAATCATTCTGTAACTTTCATTTCCATCCACTTCGCTTTTTTTTGTTGTTTTTAAAAGGTCCAATATATCATTTATTCTGTTACGGATTATGCTTTTCATGTCAATTCTAGGAACACATTGCATATCCTTAGATACTGAAAATGTATCCTGTATTTTAATACCTTTGATTTTACAACTCACATTTAAATGGTGATCCATTTTAAGGTTACTTTTGTTTAAAGGGGGAGATTTAGAATGAGGTTCATCTTTTTGCCTATTGATGTCCAATTGCCCAGCACCATTTGGTGAAAATGCTATCATTCCTCTGTTGAACTAGTTCTTTTCCTCTATAGAAAACCCATTTAGTATATTTGAATAGTTCTGTTTCTGAGTCCTCTATTCAGTTCCATTAATCTATGAATTACAAAATTGCCTTGATTACAGTAGCTACATAGTAAGTCTTAATACTGGTTAGAGTTGATAACTCTCATTTTATTCTTCTTTGTTAAGTTTTTTTAGTCTGCTCCAGCCTATGTCTTTCCATATACATTTTAAAATAAAGTTGTTTGTGTCTGCAAGAATTCTTGCTAGATTTTTTTTTTAGGAATTGCACTTAATGTGAAGATGAAATTTGGGAGAATAGGTATCTTTATTATGTTGAACATCCCAAACCTGAAATATGCTCTTTTTCTGAATTTATTAAGATGTTCTTTGGTTTATTTCATAGCATCACATAATGTTGAATATATAAATTCTGTATATTTTTAAGTATACACATATATTTCATTTTCTGTGAATCAATTTTAATCATACTTCATATTGAATTTCAGTTTCTGCAAATTTGATAACATAGAAATGTGATTAATATTTTGCATATTGATTATATGTTCTGCAGCTTGTGAAATTCACTTATTAATTTTAGAATGTTGTAGATTTCTTAAGATTTTCTATGTAAACAATTATGTCATCTGAAAATGGGACCATTATCTTTTTTTCCAAACTGTTTACCTTTTAGTTATTTTTAACTTGTCATTTTACAGTGGTTAGAGCTTCCAGCATGATGATAAACAAGATTGGTGGAAAGGACATTCCTGCCTTTTTTTTAATGGTTTTTTTCTTATTCTTGGAGAGCATTCAGGTTTTCTCACCATTATAAGTATGATATTAGCTGTAGACTTTTTGTACATGTTGTTTTGTTAAGTTAAGGAGTTCTCCACTATTTCTGATTTCTTAAACATTTATACAGTGATTGGTTGTTGCATTTGTTAATTTTGTATATATATATCAAAATGTTAAGTTCTTATCTGTTTTGTAGGTCATTCTTCTGGTGATTTTTCAGAGCCTTTGTGGTGTTATTTTGACCTTTTAAAACATCTAGTGCCTCTGGACATTCCAATCTCTAAGGATTCTGCCTGTCAGGGAAGAAGGCATTTGACCAGACTGGGCTGCTAGATGTCTCTAGGTAGATACAAGGACTCTCAGGTCCACAGTGGCAAAAAGGTTTTACCAAGTCGCGTGCTTGCTGGGGCTGTGTCCTGTTTTTCCAGATCTACCTGCCTAATTTGGTATCTCTTAGTGGGAAAAGCTAGTTACTTATGCAATTTTTGTGTACATTATTTCACATATTAAGTTCAACGTTTCCATAAGATGATCATATAGAGGGGAAATAAAATACTACTCTTTAGAAAAACAGGCCTTTCAATTTGCCTTTATCACAGTGATGTAGATGAGGTAAGAATGGGCATTATCAAAATCATTCAGTAAAATTAAATTGCACAGTCATTTTTAGGCTATTTGGTTAACATTAACTATTAAAATAGAAGTTTATTTAGATTACATTGATCCAGCTGAAATCCAAGTCTGAAGATTCACAGAATAAATTATGTGTCACCTTTTCATCTTGTAAATATCAAATTGTTAGCTAATGTCTGCCTAAAATAAAAATTATTGAAAAATAATCAGATTTATTTATATTACATTCTTTCAATTTTGACATTTTGTATTTTATATAAAATAATTAGCACAAGACTTCAATAAAAGAAGGCAAACAATTATTTAATCAAATTATTCCTTAGTTTGACAAATAAATGTTTAAAATAGCAAATTTAAAATTTTGGCATACTTTCTCTAGTAATTCTTTTGTCCTCTCCAGACAGAGAAATGACATAAATTACCAAAACTTGTTTTGGATTAATTGTATATTCCAAAGTGACCATTTCTTTTTTTTTTTTTTTTTGAGACGGAGTCTCGCTCTGTCGCCCAGGCCGGACTGCGGACTGCAGTGGCGCAATCTCGGCTCACTGCAAGCTCCGCTTCCCGGGTTCACGCCATTCTCCTGCCTCAGCCTCCCGAGTAGCTGGGACTACAGGCGCCCGCCACCGCGCCCGGCTAATTTTTTGTATTTTTAGTAGAGACGGGGTTTCACCTTGTTAGCCAGGATGGTCTCGATCTCCTGACCTCATGATCCACCTGCCTCGGCCTCCCAAAGTGCTGGGATTACAGGCGTGAGCCACCGCGCCCGGCCCCATTTCTTTATTTGACTCCAGGAAATGATACCTGGATGTTTCTATAAAAAACATGTTCATCACTGTACATTATGATCCTCTTTGTAAGAGTTATAGGGCACATCAGTATAGTGAGACTCTGAAATCTTTCCAGAAAAAAAAAATGTTGGGTTCAATCCTGTATTCCCTAAAGATATTTGTAATTAAATGTTTTGCTTGTTTTTAAGTATAATATCCCCTAAAAACTGAAGAAGATAGGATATACAGTAATTAGGTTAAAAAAACAAATAAGCAAGCAAGCAAAGAAAGAACCCTGGTAAAGAAATGTAAATCCTACTTTATGAAGCTTTCTCTTGACCAAGATACCTTAATCTTTCTCTCGGCTGAACTGAACTTTAGACAATCTTCCTAACTCTAGGCACGATCTTTTTTTTTTTTTTTCTTAGTGCATTTCCTTTAGAAAACATGTAATTTAAGTTAGTTCTCTGCCCCTTTGAAACATATAGGTCACTTTTTAAAAAAAGCTTCTTGCCAGATTTACAGCAAAGGAATGTCTTTTTCAGGAACCTAGGAGCCACTGAAGTGTAACGAATAAGAAAGATAGTACCCCTATGTCTCAGTTTCTGTTGAAGGTAGAAACCTAACTTCACTGGGCACCAATTAGCAAACACAGCTTGTCTAATCAGAGCCAGTAACATTTGCAAACTTAGAAAATACTCAATATGTTCAATACCTCCCATTCATCAGCATCCCTTCCAACACTCTCTAGTTCTTTTCCATTACACATACCACACCTTAAACTCTCTCTCATCCTTTATTTCAGAAGGTTGAATGTAGACTGTGTTCCGGTCTTTCTTCCCTATTACAATAGCCTTGAAAAAGTCTTCCTTGACTGTTTAACTTTATCAAGTACAATTTTTAGTTTGACACTTTTGATACTTTTTTGCCCCAATTCTATTATCACAGGGACTTCACAAATCATTATTAAAGATTTGAGTCCTAAAAGCCAGAAGAGGGTCGAAAAACAAAATAGGTGAACAGAGAGACAGACAGACAAATAAAAAAAAAATTGACGAAAGTTTGTGAGGGAACTAATGAAGCAGGAGCCAGAGAAACAAGCTGTGAGTAATTTATAAAGAGCAGGAGCCAAGTCAGAAATGAAGAATTAGGGGAGGGCCAAAAACCAGCAAAAAGGGTCAATATGATGACTCCATCTAAGAATCTCTCCATACATGGGTGAAGCTGGAGGCCATCATTCTTGGCAAACTAGCACAGGAACAGAAAACCAAACGCCACGTGTCCTCACTGTAAGTGGGAGCTAAATGATAAGAACACATGGACACAAAGAGGGGAACAATATGCACTGGGGCCTACCTGAAAGTGGAAGGTAGGAAGAGACAGAGGATCAGAAAAAATGACTATTGGGTACTAGGCTTAGTACCTGGGTGATGAAAACATCTGTGCAACAAACCCCTGTGACATGAGTTAACCTGTATAACAAACCTGCACCTGTAACCCAAACCTAAATTGAAAAATGATAATGATAATAATAATAATAATCTCTCAATTTAGAAAGTATAACTTTTAAAAAGCAAATTGAAGAATTTGACTTATCTTCGCTACAGATACTTTCACTAGTATTGTTCCTTCCTAATTTGACCTCAAATCCTGGTGAGTAATTATGCCTGACTATTTTGTAGTAATCACATAAAACATAAGTGTGTTGAGATTTTTTTTTAAGTAGATGGTCAATGTAGCCTTTTTAAATCTTTAATTCTTGGATGGCCACTTAATGTGGAAGCATTAGCATTTACTGTGCTGTGTAGCATCACTAATTTGACATTTTTCACCTACTGCTCCTTTTTTATCAAACATTTGTTGTAAGAAGAATTGAATTTCAAGCTGAGTAAATGGTTTTTTTAGGCAGTGCAAAATTTAATACTGCTTTCTTATTGCTACATTTAATTCAGCTCTGTTTCTATTAAAATATGTTTCTATTAATGTCAGTCATTTTTGCTTTCTTTTCTGTGGAAGATTGCAAGAGAACCCTACAACTGAGACTATAAACGTTCCTTAAAGTATGTTCACAGTACATTCCCATAAATAGATGATAGATAGATAGATAGATAGTGTCAGGCCTCTGAGTCCAAGCTAAGCCATCATATCCCCTGTGACCTGCACGTCCACATCCAGATGGCCGGTTCCTGCCTTAACTGATGACATTGTCTTGTGAAATTCCTTCTCCTGGTTCATCCTGGCTCAAAACCTCCCCTACTGAGCACCTTGTGACCCCCACTCCTGCCCGCCAGAGAACAACCCCCCTTTTTCCTTTACCTACCCAGATCCTATAAAACGGCCCCACCCCATCTCCCTTCGCTGACTCTCTTTTCAGACTCAGCCCGCCTGCACCCAGGTGATTAAAAGCTTTATTGCTCACACAAAGCCTGTTTGGTGGTCTCTTCACATGGACGCACATGAAAGATAGATAGATAGATAGATAGATAGATAGATAGATAGATAGACAGATGATAGATAGAGAGAGACAGGGCAGACTTTTCAAAAGAAAATACAATTTTAGAAAATGATTGTTGAAATAGAAGCAGCTGGTAGCAATCCCCGTGGCCAGCTTTGAGAGCCAATATTATGCTGGAGAAAAGATGGAACCATGGGGCTTCTATGATTGGTAAAGTGTTACTGCTGGAAGTAGCAGTATGACCAATAAAGCCTGAAGGGTCTTGAGAATATCATAGCTGGGAACACCTATCATAAATTATTTTTTGTTTTCATGTCTTATCCATTTATCTATCTCATTCTGTCAATAGTCTGTATTGATTTATTTATACATCAATAGTCTGTGTTGATTTATTTATATTTATATACAGTTCTGTATAGCAGAAATATAAATTAATCTATCAAATGCAACCTCATTCACTCAGTGTGAATGAAGCACATACTATAAACTTAATAACTTATTTGAAATTGAGCATAAAAGTCAAATAACCTAAAGGCTCTGTTTTGAAGAAATTGAAGGTTTAGTTGGGAAAAATCTGATAAGGAATCAAACCATGAGGTATTGATCATTATTTTTTTAAGGAATCTGAGGCCCTGGGAGCTCAAGTAACGTGTCTGAAATAAAAACAAAAAGCAACAGAGTTATGATTTTAACCTAGGTCATCTTTTTCAAAATTTATGGACCTGGTTATATTTAAAGGTTTCGATTTTGGTTTTGTGTGGTGGAGGAATTTAAATCCATTGTGCTTATATTTTCTAATTATCTATATGAAAGCACTGATTTGGAAATTATTTAAGAACATTTATATTTAAAATGCAAGTTAAGAATTTAAATGAACTTTAATTTCATTGAGATGTTGAGATTTAAAGTCCAATGATTATTGCTAACAAATTGCATTCCATAAATAGCTTGATGGCCATTGGGAAGAAAGAGAAAGTATGCATTTCTCCGATGCATATTAATTACCTGCATATTGTTTTCACCAGGAAATGGTTAGGCATTAGCAAATAGCAACAACAGGTATTCGAGATGGGTGGCTTCCAGGTGAAAGGTTTGCATAAAGATGGATTTGGTTAAGATCAGTAATGATTAATAAGAGCTACAGTTAGAGTACAGCATAGTCCATTTCAGGATTGGTGTATTAGTCTGTTCTCACATTGCTAATAAAAACATACTGGAGACTGAGTAATTTATAATGGAAAGAGGTATAATGAATTCACAGTTCCACATGGCTGGGGAGACCTCACAATCATGGCAAAAGATTAATGAGGAGCAAAATCATGTTTTATATGGTGGCAGGGAAGAGAGTTTGTGCAAGGGAACTCCCATTTATAAAACCATCAGAACTCATGAGACTTATTCACTACCATGAGAACAGTAATGGAGGAAACCGCCCTCATGATTCAATTATCTACACCTGGCCCCATCCTTGACACCTGGGGTTATTACAATTTGAGGTGAGATTTGGGTGGGAACAGAGCCAAATGATATCATTCCATTCCTGGCCCCTCCCAAATCTAATGTCCTCACATTTCAAAACCAATCATGCCTTCCCAATAGTCCCCTAAAGTCTTAACTCATTTCAGCATTAACTCAAAAATCCACAGTCCAAAGTCTCATCTGAGACAAGTCCCGTCTGCCTATTAGCATGTAAAATCAAAAGCAAATTAGTTACTTCTTAGATACAATGGGTATACAGGCATTGGGTAAATACACCCATTTCAAATGAGAGAAATTGGCCAAAACGAAAGAGCTACAGGCCTCATGCAAGTCCAAAATCCTAGAGGGCAGTCAAATCTTAAAGTTCCAAAACTATCTCCTTAGACTTTATGTCTCACATACAGTTCACACTGATGCAAGAGGTGGGCTCCCCAGCCTTGGACAGCTGCTGTCCTGTGGCTTTACAGGGTTCAGCCCCTCTTCCAGATGCTTTAACGGGCTGATGTTGAGTGTCTGTGGCTTTTCCAGGTGCACAGGGCAAGCTGTCAGTGGAGCTACCATTCTGGGGTCTGGAAGACAGTGGCCCTCTTCTCACAGCTCCACTAGGCAGTGCCCTAGTGGGTACTCTTTGTGGGGGCTCCAACCCCATGTTACTCTTCTGCACTGCCCTAGCAGAGTTTCTTCATGAGGGCCCCACTCTTCCAGCAAATTTCTGCCTGGACATTCATGTGTTACCATACATTCTCTGATATCTAAGCAGAGGTTCCCAAAGCTTGATTCTTATCTTCTGTGTACCCACAGGCCCAACACCACATGAAAGCTGCCAAGGCTTGGGGCTTGCACCCTCTGAAACCACCACCTGAGCTGTACCTTGGCCTCTTTTAGCCATGGCTGGAGCAGCAGGCATTCAGGGCACAAAGTTCTGAGGCTGCACTCACCAAGAAACCAGTTGTCCTTCCCAGGCCTCCAGGCCTGTGATGGGAGGGGCTGCTGGCAAATGTTTCTGACATGTCCTGAAGACATTTTCCCCATTGTTTTGGGGATTACCATTTGACTCCTTGTTACTTATGCAAATGTCTGCTGCCTGCTTGAATTTCTCCCCAGAAAATGGGGTTTTATTTTCTATTGAATCCTCAGTCTGCAATTTTTTTTTTCAATTTTTATGCTCTACTTCCTCTTGAACACTTTGCTGTTTAGAAATTTCTTTTGCCAGATACCCTAAATCATTGCTCTCAAGTTCAAAGTTCCACAGATCTCTAGGGCAGGGACAAAATGCTGTGAGTCTCTTTTCATAGCAAGAGTGACCTTTACTCCATTTCCCAAGAAGTTTCTCATCTCCATCCCATCAGAGACCACCCCAACTGAAACTTTATTGTCTATATCACTATCAGAATTTTGGTCAAAGCCATTCAACAAGTCCCCAGGAAGTTCCAAACTTTTCCACATCTTTCTGTCTTTTGAGCCCTCCAAGTCTCTAGTAAGTTTCAAACTTTCCCACATTTTTTGGTCTTCTTCTGAGCCCAAACTATTCCAGCCTCTGCCTGTTACACCATTCCAAAATTATGTTCACATTTTTAGGTATCATTATAGCAGCACCCCACTCTACCAGTGCCAATTTACTGTATTAGCCTGTTCTGCTAATAGAGACATACCCGATTCTGGGTAACTTTTACAGGAAAGAAGTTTAATGGGCTCACGGTTCCACATGGCTGGGGAAGCCTCATAATCATGGCAGAAGGCAAATGAAGAGCAAAGACACGTCTTACATGGTGGCAGGCAAGAGAGCATGTGCAAGGGAACTCCCATTTATAAAACCATCAGATTTCATGAAACTTATTCACCACCAGGAGACCAGTATGGGGGCAGCCACCTTCATGATTCAATTATCTCCCATGCAATGTCAGAGATGAAATGACTGGACATAAGTCTCTTGCTTTTTGTGACAACAAGTCTCTGAATATCTCCACCAGGCCTTCTCAGAATACATCATGCTTAAGTATCTGTTTGGTTTCCTCCACTTACTTCTTAATATGGTTTGGCTGTGTCCCCACCCAAATCTCATCTTGAATTCGCACATGTTGTGGGAGGGACCTGGTGGGAGTTAACTGAATCATGGGGGCAAGTCTTTCTTGTGTTGTTCTCCTGGTAGTGAATAAGTCTCATGAGACCTGATGGTTTTAAAAAGAGGAGTTCTGCTGCACAAGTTCTCTCTTTGCTTGCTGCCATCCATGTAAGATGTGACTTGCTCCTCCTTGCCTTTTGCCATGATTGTGAGGCTTCCCCAGCCACGTGGAACTTTAAGTCCAATTAAACTTCTTTCTTTTGTAAATTGCCCAGTCTTGAGTGTGTCTTTATCAGCAGCATGAAAATGAACTAATACAGTTCTGTATAGCACATAGAATGGATTGAGTAATATGAGAATGGACTGAAGTTGGTTAGGGCACAGTAATAGAGTGAGGGCTTCCAGCAGTATCATGACCGATGGGGAGATCATCCAGGTCAGCAGTGTCCATTTGGCCCCTGCAAAGCAAGTCTGAAAGTGGTAATGAGCTCCCTGTACACTCTGCTCCAGCTGGGTTGAGCTTTCACATGTTACAACATTTAGTCTGGCTCTCAGAGTTTCCTGAATAAAGTTTGTGTAGAAGACACTTATTCCAGACACACAAATATGAGAGCTACCAACAACTCAGTCTTTCTACCCAAATAGGAAATCATTCAAGGCCAAATTGTTTTCTCCTATCTTTCACTCCTTTGGTTGCCATGTGATTACAACATGTATTTCTAAAGTGACAACTTCTTCCCAGGTGAAAGCAAACGAATAATAAGGCTTAAAGAAAGCAGTTCTCTGAAAATGAAGTACTAAAGGATCACATTCTTCTTTTTTCATGCAAATGAGGTCCTGTTGGAGCAGCAGAGCATTACTCAATAAATCATTTTGCACTCTTGAGCAGCCTGAATGCAGCTCTAATTCCGACACCACGGGACTGTTTAATTCAGCTCTAAGGAAATGGTACAGCTGGCTGAGCTTAGTACACACTTGAACATTGAACTTCTCCCTCCATTAGCGCACTTACCCTGTGCTGCCCCATGCTTTGCTTAGTTTTTAACTAAAATTCTATTACATCAAATTCCAGGATACTTGAGGGCAGGAACTAGGGTGGCAGTCAGAGTAAAGTAACACATTTAAAATAGCAATAGTTAATAGGATGTAACACGTGTTAAGCACTTTGAATTCATTATCTTATTTAAATTGTTGACACCAACAATTGGATATTTATATAGTTATATACATATTCAAATGAGAAAACTAAATCTCGAAGAATTGTATATTTTAATTTCAGTTACATAGGTAGTAAAATATGAGTCATGGCCGAGCATGGTGGCTCATGCCTGCAATCCCAGCACTTTCGGAGGCCGAGGCAGGCAGATCATGTGGTCAGGAGATTGAGACAATCCTGGCTAACACAGTGAAACCCTGTCTCTACTAAAAATATAAAAAATTAGCTGGGTGTGGTGGCATGTGCCCATAGTCCTAGGTACTTGGGAAGTTGAGGCAGGAAACTCCCTTGAACCCAGGAGGTGTATGTTGCAGTGAGCCAAGATCACACCACTGCACTCAAGCCTGGGTGACAGAATGAGACTCTGTCTCAAAAAAAAAAAAGTATATATATGAGTCATATTTGCATTGAGTTTATTTGACACCAGACCAGTTTATTATAAAAGACTATTTTCCCTGCCCAGAATCAGACACCATGTAACCCTCACCACCCCTGCAAATGGGCTAGGCAGCTGTTATTGTTTATATTTGACAAATTTAAAAAAGATGCTAAATGAGGTATTTCAGATCCTTTACTGAGTAATGTAAGCTATATTTCAAAACAAATAATCTTTAATTAAGTAATTTCTACTATATTATGTCCAATAGGGATGATAACTGATAAAAAGCAAAATAATGGGATTTGCATTTTAGAAATCTTAGATTGCAGCACATTGGACAAAACTTTGTCAGTGTTTACTCAACTTGTAAGTTGATTTTTACTGTAAAACAGTGAGATGCACATGAACTTTTTTCTAATTTTTAAAGAAAAAAGTTCAGAGTAAAAATATTAACACAGAACAAAATCAATATATAATTAGAAAAAAATTATTTCAATATAATATTTTAAAAAAGAAGGCAAAATTGGCTTTCTACCAAATGTATTAAGTGAACAAAAGTTGTCAACTTTATCATCTCATGGTTCCGTGTATTAGATATAATTTGAAATGTCTTTAGTTTGACCATTAAGAATTTACGGCTAGAGAGATTGGGAAATGCTTATCAATGTGGCAGAAGTAAATGCTAATGCCTGCCAAATTTAATGATAAAGGGAAGCGGGATGAAAAATTTCCCAAATACTGGTAAAAAGTCTCATCCCTTCCTTTGTGGAGGTAGAATGGTGAAAGAGTGATACAATTTAATGTGATATTTATTTATTTATTATATTTTTTAACTTTTATTTTAGGTTCAGTGGTACATGTGCAGGTTTTTATATAGGTAAACTGCATGCCACAGTGGCTTGGTATACAGATTATTTCATTACCCAGGTAATAAATATAATACTTGATAGGTAGTTTTTCGATCCTCACCCTCCTCTGACCCTCTATCCTCAAGTACATCCTGGTGTCCATTATTCCCCTCTTGGTGTCCATGTTTGACTCCCAATTATAAGTGAGAATATGCAGTGTTTGGTTTTCTGTTCCTGCATCAGTTTGCTTAGAAAGATGGCCACCATCTCCATCCATGTTCCTGCAAAGGACATTATCGTGTTCTTTTTTATGGCTGCATAGTATTCCATGGCATACACATACCACATTTTCCTTACCTATTACACTGTTGATGGTCATCTAGGTTGATTCTATGTCTTTGCTATTGGGAATAGTGGTGTGATCAACGTACACATGCACGTTTCTTTATGGTAGAATGATTTATCTTCCTTTACATATATACCCAGTAATGAGATTGCTGGGTAGAATGGTAGTTTCGTTTTAAGCTTTTTTAGAAATTGCCAAACTGTTTTCCACCATGGCTGAGCTAATTTACATTCCCACCAGCAGCATTTAAGTGTTCCCTTTTCTCTGCCACCTTGCCAGCATCTGTTATTGACTTTTTATTAATAGCTCTGACTGGTGTGATATGGTATCTGATATGGTTTGGCTGTGTCCCCACTTAATTGTAGCTTCCATAATTCCCATGTGTTGTGGGAGGGACCTGGTGAGAGGTAATTAAATCATGGGGGCAGGTCTTTCCTGTGCTGTTCTTGTGATAGTGGATAAGTCTCCTGAGATCTGATAGTTTTATAAATCTCCTGAGATCTGATAGTTTTATAAAGGGGAGTTCCCCTGCACATGCTTTCTTGCCTCCAACCATGTAAAACGTGACTTTTCTCTTCCTTCACCTTCTGCCATGACTGTGAGGCCTCCCTAGCCATGTGGAACTATGAGTCGATTAAACATCTTTCCTTTATAAATTGCCCAGTCTTGGGTGTGTCTTTATTAGCAGCATCAAAACAGATTAATACAGTAAATTGGTACCAAGGTAGTGGGTGCTGCTGTAAAGCTATGCAAAAATGTGGAAGCATCTTTGGAACAGGGTAACAGGCAAAAGTTGGAGTAGTTTAGAGGGCTCAGAAGAAGAAAGGAAAATGTGGAAAAGCTTGGAACTTCCTAGAGGTTTGGAGGGCTCAGAAGACAGATGTGGGAAAGTTTGGAACTTCCTAGAGACTTGTTGAATGGCTTTGACCAAAATGCTGATAGTGATATGGACAATGAAGTCCAGCCTGAGGTGGTTTCAGATGGCAATGAAACAGGAAAAGTTCTTTTATCGCCCTCACAGGGTGTGAGAAGGAGGTGTGGCTCCCTTCTTTGGTGTCCTGCTCCTCAAACCTCTCAGGGAAGCATGCAGATGGCAGGTACTGGGCCACGTGGGCTCATGGGCCACGTGGGCTCCGACCCCATGGCAGCATCTAGCGGTGAATGTTTACAGCTCCTGAAGCCCCAGTGGGCGTGTGGTACAGTTGCTCTTTTAGTTTTGCCATCTGTGGGTGGCTTGTGTTAATCAGCTCAATTAAACCCTCTGCCTTATGGCAAGGACAGAAGGCTTTCTGTATCCTGGGGTTGTTCCCTTGGTATATTGGAAAAATTGGATTACATGTGGGCTTGGAGAATGAGTGCAAGCTTTTATTAAATGGTGGCAGTAGCTCTCCCCAGATAGACGAGCCAGAAGAGGGTTTTTCCCTGGAGCCGGGCTGCTCAGCAGCTGAACTCACCTCCAACTGCCCCAGGCAAATTTCCCTCGGTGTCTGTGTGGTTCTGCTGGTCAATGGCCTGACAGCATCTGCTGGTGCCTTCCAGTGTGCTCCTATGCTACTCTGCTCCTCTTGATGTCCAGCCGCCTGTGTGCTCTCTGCCAATGGGTTCTTCACCACATCCAGCTGCTTGTATCCAAGCCCATGAGGGTCTTGGGGTTTTTACAGGCACAGGATGCAGGCATGGTAGGCCAGAGTGATCTTGGAAAATCCAACATTTGGGTGCAAAAACAGGAGTCTCTGTTCTTACCTAGGTCGGTGGGCACAGCCCAGAAGGTGGAGCCCTCTCCAGAGACCCTGCCCTTTTCTTTCCAGCACTTCCCTGCCCCTCTCCTGTATCAGAGATGAGGAAGTTGTTGGGAACTGGAGTAAAAATGACTTTTGATATGCAAAGAGACAGGCAGCATTTTGCCCCTGCCCTAGTGGTGCGTGGAACTTAGAAACTGAGAGAGATGGTTTAGGGTATCTGGCAGAAGAAATTTCTAAGCAGTAAAGCATTCAAGAGGAACCAGAGCATAAAAGTTTAGAAACTTTGCAGCCTGATGATGCGATAGGAAACAAAACCCCATTTTCTGGGGAGATATTCAAGCCAGCTGCAGAAATTTGCATAAGTAATGAGAAGCCATATGTTAATCCCCAAGACAATGGGGAAAATGTCTCCAGGACATGTCAGAGACCTTCACAGCAGCCCCTCCTATCACAGACCCAGAGGCCAAGGAGGAAAAAGTGGGTTTCCTGAGGAAAAAAATGAGTTTCCTGGGCCTGGCCTGGGGTCCCCTGCTGTGTGCAGCCTAGAGACTTTGTGCCCTGCATCCCAGCCACTCCAGCCATGGCTAAAAGTGTCCAAGGTACAGCTTGGGCCATGGCTTCAGAGTGTGCAAACCCCAAGCCTTGGCAGCTTCCCTGTGGTGTTGAACCTGTGGGTGCACAGAAGTCAAGAATTGAGGTTTGAGAACCTCCGCCTAGATTTCAAAGGATGTATAAAAATATCAGGATGTCCAGGCAGAAGTTTACCTGGGGTAGAGTCCTCATGGAGAACTAGGGCAGTGAGAAAGGGAAATGTGGAGTCAGAGCCCCCACACAGAGTCCCCAGTGGTGCACTGCCTAGAGGAGCTGTGAGAAGAAGGTCACCATCCTCCAGACACCAGAATGGTAGATCATCCAACAGCTCGCACCATGCACCTAGAAAAGCCACAAACACTCAACACTAGCCCATGAAAGCAGCTGGGAGTGGGGCTATACCCTGCCAAGCAAGCCACAGGGTGGAACTGACCAAAGTCATGGAAGGACCTCTTGCATCAGCATCTCCTGGATGTAAGACATGAAGTCAAAGAAGATCATTTTGGAACTTTAAAGTTTAATGACTGCCCTATTGGATTTTGGACTTGCATATGGCCTGTAGCCCCTTTGGTTTGGCCAATTTCTCCCATTTGGAATGGGTGTATTTACCTGATGCCTGTATCCTCATTGTATCTAGGAAGTAACTAACTTGTTTCTGATTTTACAGGCTTGTAGGCAGAAGGGACTTGCCCTGTCTCAGATGAGACTTTAGACTGGGGACTTTTGTGTTAATGCTGAAATGAGTTAAGACCTTGGAGGACTTTTAGGAAGGCATGATTTGTTCTGAAATATGAGGACGTGAAATTTTGGAGGGGTCAGGAGTGTAATAATATGGTTTGGCTGTGTCCCCACCCAAATCTCATCTTGAATTGTAGCTCCAATAATTCTCATTTGTCATGGGAGGACTCCAGTAAGAGGTAAATGAATCATGGGGGCGGGTCTTTCTCATGCTGTTCTTGTGATAATGAATAAGTCTCATGAGATCTGATGGTTTAATAAAGGGAAATTCCCCTGCACAAGCTTTCTTACCTGCCACTGTTTAAGGTGGGCCTTTGCTCTTCCTTTGCCTTCTGCCATCATTGTGAGACCTCGTGAAGCATGTGGAACTGTGAGTCAAGTAAACCTCTATCCATTATAAATTACTAAGTCTCAGTATATCTTTATTAGCAGCATGAGAATGGACGAATACAGTGTCATGGTGGTTTTGATTTGCATTTCTGTAATTATTAGCGATATGAAGCTGTTTTTCATATGCTTGTTGGCCACATGTACATCTTCTTTTGAAAAGTGTCTGCTCATATGCTTTGCACACTTTTTAATGGGGTTGTTGGTACTTTACTTGTTAATCTATTTATATTATTTAAATTTCCTACATATTAGGCCTTTGTTGAATGCATAGTTTGTAAATGTTTACTCCCATTCTGTAAATTGTCTGTTTACTCTGTTGATAGTTTCTTTTGCTGTGCACATGCTGTTTAGTTTAATTCAGTCCATTTGCCAATTTTTGGTTTTGTTGCAATTGTTTTTGGAGTCCTCTTCATGAAATCTTTGCCAGGGCCCAGGTCCAGAATATTTCATAGATTTTCTTAGAGGTATTTTATAGTTTTAGGTTTTTCATTTAAATCTTTAATCCATCTTCTGTTGATTTTTGTATATGGTGTAAGAAAGGGGTCTGGTTTCAAGTAGCCAGTTATTCTAGCATTATTTATTGAATGGAGAGTCTTTTCCTCATTGCTGGTTTTTGTACACTTTGTTGAAGATCAAATGGATGTATGTGTATGTTTTTATTTCTGGGTTCTCTATTCTGTAACACTTATCCATGTGTCTGGTTTTGTACTAGTATCATGTTGTTTTGTAGCCTTGTACTATGGTTTGAAGTCAAGTAACAGGATGCCTCCAGCTTTGTTCTTTTTGCTTAGGATTACTTTGGCTATTCAAACTCTTTCTTGGTTCCATATAAATTTTAGAATAGCTTTTTCTAATTCTGTGAAAACGATCATTGGTAGTTGGATAGGACTAGCATTGAATCTGTACATTACTTTGGGCAGTATGGCCATTATAATAATACTGATTCTGTCTATCCATGAGCATGGAATGTTTTTCCATTTTTGTTTGTCATCTCTGATTTCTTTCAGTAGTGTTTTGTAATTTATGTTGCAGGGATTTTTCACCTCCCTGGTTAGCTGTGCTCGTAGATATTTTGTGTGTGTGTGTACTTGGGTGTGTGTGTGTGGCTTTTGTAATTGGGATTGTGCTCTTGATTTGGCTCTCAGCTTTGATGTTGTTGGTGTATAGAATGCTTGTGATTTTTATACAATGATTTTGTGTACATAAAGTTTGCTGAAGTTGTTTATTAAATGTAGGAGCTCTTGAGCAGAGACTATGGCGTTTTCTAGATATAAAATTATATCATCTGTGAAGAGAGATAATTTGACTTTCTTTCTATTTGAATGCCTTTTATTTATTTCTCTTGCCTGATTGCTCTGGCTAGGACTTCCAGTAGTATGCTGAATAGAAGTGGTGAGAGTGGGCATCCTTGTCTTGGTCCAGTTCTCGAGGGGAAAGCTTCTAGCTTTTGTCCGTAGAGTATGATGTTGACTGTGGGTTTTGTCATAGATGGCTTTTATTATTTTGAGTTATGTTCCTTTAACGCCTAGTTTATTGAGGGTTTTTAACATGAAGCGATGTTGAATTTTATCAGAAGCATTTTCTACATCTATCGAGATAGATCTATTGAGATAGAGTTTTTTCTTTTAGTTCTGTTTATGTGATAAATCACATTTATTGATTTGAATATGTTGTATAGGAAGAATAAAGCCTACTTGGTTACAGTGAAATAGCTTTTTGATGTGCTACTGGATTCAGTTTGATAGTATTTTGTTGAGAAATTTTGCATCTATGTTCATCAGGGTTATTGCCCTGATGTTTTCTATTTTTGTTATGTCTCTGCCAGGTTTGAGTATCAGAATGATGGTGGCCTCATAACATGATTTTAGGAAGAGTTGTTCCTTCTCAATTTTTTGGAATTGTCTCAGTAGAAATGGTACTAGCTCTTCATTATATATCTGATAGAATTTTGCTATAAATCTGTGTTGTCCTGGCTTTTTCTGCTTGGTAGTCTTTTTATTACTGATTCAATTTAGGAACTCATTATTCATCCATTCCGGGTTTTAATTTCTTTCTTGTTCAACCTTGGGAGATTGTATGTTTCCAGGAATTTATCAATTTTTTTTAGGTTTTCTAGTTTGTGTGCATACAAACACTTATAATAGTCTCTGAGAGTTTTTGTATTTCTGTAAGGTGGTGGCAATGCCTCCTTTGTCATTTCTGATTGCATTTATTTGGATATTCTTTTTTTCTTTATCATTATTATTATTATTGTTGTTAATTATTTTTTGAGACAAGCAAGGTCTTTCTCTGTTGCCCAGGCTGGAGTGCAGTGGTGTGATCTCAGCTCACTGCAACCTCTGCCTCCTGGGTTCAATCAATTCTCCTGCCTTGGCCTCCCAAGTAGCTGGGATTACAGGCACCATCCACTATGCACAGCTAATTTTAGTTTTGCCATGTTGGCCAGGTTGGTCTTAAACTCCTGATCTTAAGTGATCCAGCCCCCTCAGCCTCCCAAAGTGCTTGGATTAAGGCATGGGCCACTGCAACCGGCCTTCATTATTAATTTAGCTAGCAGTCTATCAATCTTGCTGTTCTTTCAAACAACCAACTTCTGCTTTCAGTGACATTTTGTGTGGTTTTTCACATCTCAATTTCATTCAATTCAGCTCGGATTTTGGTTATTTCTTTTTTTCTGCTAGCCTTGTGGTTGGTTTGCTCTTGTTTTTCTAGTTCCTCCAAATGTCATGTTAGGTTTTTCATTGGAAATCTTTCTAACTTCTTGATGCAGGTGTTTAGCACTATAGACTTCCCTCTTACCACTGCTTTAGCTATGTCTCAGAGATTTTGGTATGTTGTATCTTTATTTTCATTAGTTTCAAGAATTTTTTGATTATTGCCTTAATTTCATTGTTTACCCAAAATTCATTCAGGAACAGGTTGTTTAACTTCCATGTATTTTGTATGATTTTATGAATCTTCTTAGTATTGCTTTTTACTTTTATTGTGCTAATATCTCAAAGTGTGGTTGGTATGATTTTGATTTTTTGAATTTACTGAAAAGTTGACAGTTATTTTACGGCCTATGATATGATCGATTTTAGAGTATCTGCCATGTGCAAATGAGAAGAATATATATTCTGTTGTTTGGGGGTGGAGAGTTCTGTAGATATCTGTTAGGTCTATTTGGTCGAGTGTCAAGTTGAGGTTTCGAATATCTTCATTAGTTTACTGCCTCAAAGATCTGTCTAATGCTGTCAGTGGGGTGTTGAAATCTTCCACTATTTTAATGTGATCTTCTAAGTCTTTTTGTAAATTTCTAAGAACTTGTTTTATGAATCTGGATGCTATTGTATTGGGTGCATATTTATATCATACTTTTTTTTTTTTTTTTTTGGTATTTAGGCTAAGAGTTCTAGATTGTATGTCCAAAATGTCACCACTGAAACAATTTAGAAATTGTAATGCTTAGGAATTAAAGTAGCTATTGATAAAGAATCAATTCCAGTTAGTAGTCCAGACAATGAAAGTAGATATCATGAAAATTATAGAAAAGAATCAGAAAATATATGCCTTTCTTGAAGTAAGTCTGAAACTGAATGACTAGATAAGAAAATACTATTTTTATTACCAGGTGTTTGTTAAGCTACATAGAAGGTAGAAAAACATTCTGAAAAAGAGTTAAAAAATGTGAAATACTTTGAGGAGAACATCAAGGATTTCAAGGTCGATAGGATAATGAATTGGACAAGGTAGATTTTTGATTTTACACACAATGTGAAGAAATAAGAGTCAGATTGCTGAGGCAGTACACTAACATTTGCAGTTTACTTCAACTCTTCTCTTCCCAAATGACCTGTCATTCTTAAAGTAGTATTTTGCAATGGAACTTTCTGTACTGATGAGGATATTTTGTATCAGTGTTACAAAATATGATAGCTGTAGCCACATGTGGCTTTTGAACTAATGAAATATGGCTAGTGTAACTATGAAGCTAAATTGTCAATTTTATTTAATTTAAATACATTTAAATGTAAATAACTGCAAGTGGCTAGTAACTATATTTAAAGCTCTGGGAGGTATAGGAGTATACTAGCATACTAACTAAAATGCCCAGATCTATAGTTTTCAATCTCCCAGTGATTTTATCTAAAATATCTGAATAGAAGAAAAAAACAATAAACAAGATAGGAAGAAGTAATTGAGGAGGAATACTTTTTTCTGAATTCTGACTGTCAAGTACTCTATGTCCCTGACAAAAAAGAAACAAAACCCACTCTAAAGAAAGAAAAACATAGTAAGTCTCAAGTTAATATCATAAACAATTTAGTTAATACACTATCTAGATATGGATAAAAATAATTGGGCACACATAGGGAGATATTCAATATGGTAAAAATAAAATTAAAGTGAAAGAAAATACCTAGCAGAAAGAGTACAAAATACAAATAGACTGGCAGGCTATAGATACTTATATTGTGACACACACAATTTAAATAAAAAATACTTACCATTTCCAAAAAGATAATAGAGACAAGATTAAGCATTTAGGCAGAGGGTTACAAAATATACATGTCTAAAAGGAGACTTTTTTTACAGTGAAAAGTAAAATAATGAAATTATTTACTTCTTTTACAGATTAAAAGTAAAATAATGAATTTTTAAAAGCCAATAGATTTGTTTTACTGTGCTTTAGACTCTACTGAATAGAGAATTAATTAATTAAATTTTAGAATAAAAGAAATTATTTAGGTTGAAACACAAAACACTAAAATGAATGAAAAATACAGAAGAGAAGGAAAGGGGGAAAAGTGAGAAATTCTAAGATTCATACAGTTTGATTTGTAGAAATAGAATTGTAGAAAAGCAAAAATATTGCAGAAGCAATGTTTGAAGACATAGTGTTTATCTTAGTTCCATATGTATATATATGGAACTTGGAGATATATATATATATATATATATATATATATATATATATATATACACACACACACACACGCATATATACATATATATATATATATACACACACACACACATATATATATCTCCAAGCTACAGATTCAGAAGATCTACAGACCCCAAGCCAAATAAATAAAAAGAAAATAAGACTTGAATAGATCATAGTAAAACTGCTAAATAACAATTTTTAAATGTGTTAAAAGCAACCAATTTTTTAAAGTACAGATAATCGCTAAAGGTGTAATACTGAAATTAACTGCTGAATTTTCAAGAGATAATGCATATCATAAGAGAATAGAAAAACATTTTAAAATTAGAAAAAAAAATTGCCAATTTAGAATTCTATGCACTTTGAAAATATATTTCATGAATAAAGATAAATGTAGCCATATTTATACATATGTGTATAAAACAAAATATCTAATTTGCACATGTATGTTTAGTAAAACTGGGCCAGGCATGGTGGCTCACACCATTAAGCTCAGCACTTTCGTAGGCCTAAGTGGGAGGATCACTTGAGGTCAGGAGTTTGAGACCAGCCTGGCCAACATGGTGAAACCCGGCCTCTACTAAAAATACAAAAATTAGCCAGGCATGATGGTGCACACCTGTAATCCCAACTACTCGGGAGGCTGAGGCATGAGAATCCAATGAACCCAGGAGGAGGGGGAGTTTGCAGTGGGCCAAGATCGCACCACTGTACTCCAGCCTGGGTGACAGAGCAAACTCTATCTCAAATAAACAAACAAAACCAAAACGTTATGTTGATATCACATTTTCTGCTCTTTTACTATAGGGGAAATTGAGAAAGTTACTGAGATTAGGAAGAATCTGTATCCTCAAACTCTTTTTTTTTTTTTTTTTTTTTTTGAGATGGAGTCTCTCTCTGTTGCCCAGGCTGGAGTGCAGCGGCGCAATCTCGGCTCACTGCAAGCTCCGCCTCCTGGGTCCAGGCCATTCTCCTGCCTCAGCCTCCTGAGTAGCTGGGACTACAGGCGTCCGCCACCACGCCCAGCTAATTTTTTTGTATTTTTAGTAGAGACGGGGTTTCACCGTGTTAACCAGGATGATCTTGATCTCCTGACCTCGTGATCCGCCTGCCTCGGCCTCCCAAAGTGAGCCCCCGCGCCCGGCCACCTCAAACTCTTTATCTGCAAAACAACATTTTCAATGCAAGGAATGTTAACTCCCCTGTCCTTCTAAAACTCTAAGCTTTAATGACAGTTTAGTGGTTCATTTTGATCTCACATATGCCCAGTAAATAAAGGCATGAATTTAGTTCTGAATCACAAATATGTTATTTTTCACAACTAAACATGTAAAAGTCAATGATTCTTTTTTTAATTTAGTGTATGCGTTGAATTTTATGCTTAAGATCTCTCACATCACAGTTTCCAGGATAAGAAAAATAAAGAGCCATACACATTTTTTTCTGTAAATTTTGCTAAAAAAAATACAGTAAACAAGGGTTATTTATTAGTAGGTGATTAGGTATTGATAATTAAATTGCCATTACATTTCAGCGGGAAGTCAGAGTAGAGAAGGAATATGTGCAATTAAAATGGGGTTTCTATTAATACATTTTGATAACTCACTTTCTATGGCTTAACAATTTGTAATTATTTATAACAATACCAGATTGTCTACCAATGGGGAAAACATGTTAGTTTAGGTAGACCATATAGAGGAAGATGCAAGCATTTCTAGCATTGTCTTCCTACAGTCTAATGGGGCCTCCTTCTCTGTTACTTGAAGTAGAGTGGATAAAGCTCTTCTCTGTTTCCACCTGTTGATTGACAGAAGATAAAAGACTCCAGTTGTGATGAAAAATTACCGGGGAAATTGCAGTCTCTACACAAATGCAATGCCTTTTATGTTTGCAGCCCATGAATGGATGTACTGCTGCTTTTATGTAAAAGACATCAATTACCAAAAGCTCCTCTAGTTAAACTAAATTTGACTTTGAGAATTAACTGCATTTGTTCTTTCAATAGATGCTTGGGGAATAAAGTTGTAATGACCTTTCTGGGGGTGTAAAAAAAATCAGATGCCAGAAGATTGAAATTGAACAAAGATGACATTCGGCCTGAAATAATTGGGCCATGCATCAGCAAACAAAAAACAAAAAGCAAAATCAGTGGCTTGAGTTATTTAAAAAAAAAATATGGATCGTGCACTCATTCACTTGTTTATACATTTGTTTTCTTAGCCAGTCCTTGGAAAAGGGTAAGAAATAAAATCTGATGAAAAGGTGTTGAAAACTTAAAAACAGCCTTGTTACTAAAAGTAGCATTTTGATTGTGAAATGCACTTCATATATACATATCTCAGTTTCTTTATCTGACAAATGGTGATACAAAAATGTATTAATGAGAAAATTCTAATTTTTATGGAGAACTCCAGGCCTCTTTCATCTTATTTGGGAGAGGAGAAAAAAAATCATAGTTAAGATTCAAGGAAAAGGACAAAAACTTATGCATAGCATACTTTGGGTTGGAGCTTCTTGATCTAGTAAAGATAGAAATGAATAATTCCGGCCGGGCGCGGTGGCTCACGCCTGTAATCCCAGCACTTTGGGAGGCCGAGGCGGGTGGATCATGAGGTCAGGAGATCGAGACCATCCTGGCTAACAAGGTGAAACCCCGTCTCTACTAAAAATACAAAAAATTAGCCGGGCGCGGTGGCGGGCGCCTGTAGTCCCAGCTACTCGGGAGGCTGAGGCAGGAGAATGGCGTGAACCCGGGAAGCGGAGCTTGCAGTGAGCCGAGATTGCGCCACTGCAGTCCGCAGTCCGGCCTGGGCGACAGAGCGAGACTCCGTCTCAAAAAAAAAAAAAAAAAAAAAAAGAAATGAATAATTCCTTTTTTATTAATAGTGAGATTAATGGAATAAGAGAAGCCTAAGGCTGGCCTTCCCTTTGGAAAGGAGCACTCCCAGACATCTAAGAAATGTCCAGATGGGAGCCATAATATGGCTAAAATGAAGTAAGACTCGTGATTTTAGGAGATAAAGATGCCTGTCACAATTTATTTTTATTTTTTTTGTGGACTCTTCTTGCTATTAGAGTTCCCTTTTTAGTGTATAATTTAAAGATATATATGAGAAAAATATCAGTTAATCATTGTAATATAAATCACAATTTGGGGCTGCTGTTATGTAAAATATATCATTTAGAAAGAGCCCTTGATAATTCCTTCTCCAGCTAAACAAAGTCTACCTTTGCAGATTTAACCACATTTGCTCTTTTTAGGGCTTCTTATTGAGCAAAGTTTTAGTTAGCCTTCATGTGATGGAGGCAAAATCAGATGTTAAGAAATTGAAATTATATAAGCATACTCTTCATTGTAAATAGTTAGCATGACTGTGCATCAACATAGATATTGTTGGAATTGTTGGTTCTCTACCAAAAATTGCCTAAATCATACACACATCTGAGTGTGGTCCAACTTAACACAGAAGTAGACCAGTAAGAGTAGAAGTGAAGTGTGGTTTATGAAACCCTGAAGTTCCCCAACCTTCATTCAGGAGACCCATTATGTGAAAACTCTTTCAAAACAATATTAAGATGTTAATTATCCTTAACTGTTTTGACATCTGCACTAATGATTACACAAAAGCAATGATGATAAAATGGTCGGTGCTTTCGTATGAATCAAGACAGTGGCACTAACATTACTGGAAGGCATTATATTTGCTGAAGTAGTAACAGTAAAAGCATTAATTAATTTAAATCTTAACTCATGGACATACAGCTTTTCAATATTCTGTGTGACAGAATAGGAAGGGTGCATAAAGCACTTCTGGAATCTGATGAGTGTTACCAGAAAAAGCACTTGTGAGGTTGTTTGTCTTGAAACTGCATCAGCTAGTTTTTTTGTTTTGTTTTGTTTTATTTTTATATAAAATACAATTTTTACTTAAAATAATAATTAATGGGTACTAGGTGTTCAAACTTGTGTATTTGGCAGACATTCTCTCAAAAAAGTATTAAAACTAAACTCTCTCTTCAAGAAAATAACTATCATTATCTGTGATCAAAGATTTGAGCATTCAAGTGAAAATTAGAATTTGGGAAAACAAAATTATTCCTAGTACTTATAAAGTTTCAGATGAGAATGATCTTAATATTAGCAATATATTTTTTGAATGTAGAGTGAAATATGTATTTACATTTGGAATAATGCAAAATTCAGTAAACCCATTATTTCCAACGGCTAATGCATGAAGTTTTAAAGTCATGCTTGATAAAAGATCCAATACATTTTTATGTAACAGGGTTCAAAAGGGTACTGATGGTTTCAGATTCTACATTTAAGTACCCTTTGAGTAAATATTAGTTATCAAGTTTTGGTATAGTATTAAAGAATATCTTCAATTGAAAGAACTATTAAAATACTCTTTCTTGGCTGGGCACAGTGGTTCAGGCCTGTAATCCCAGCGCTTTGGGAGGCCGAGGTGGGCGGATCACCTGAGGCTGGGAGTTCAAGGCCAGCCTGGCCAACATGGCGAAATCCCATCTCTTCTAAAAATACAAAAATTAGCCAGGCGTGGTGGCACGCACCTGTAATCCCAGCTACTCGGGAAACTGAGGCAGGAGAATCACTTGAACCTGGGAGCTGGAGGTTGCAATGAGCCGAGATCATGCCACTGCACTCCAGCCTGGGTGACAGAGCAAGACTTCATCTCAAAAAAAAAAAAAAAAATACTCTTTCTTTTTCTCACTATATACCCTTGAGCAGTCAGATTGTCTTTTCATATTTCAACAGAAAACATGTGGCAACAGTTTGAATACAGAAACAGATGTGAGAATTAAAGTGTCTTCTATTAAGCCAAATAATAAATATGCAAAAAATATGAAATAATGTTATTTTCATTATCTTTTTGTTTTATATAATGTAGTTATGTTTCATATATTTGTGTTGTTAGTGTGTATTTATATTATCAATTTAGATGAATTAATAAACATTTAATAATATCTGATTTTAACTTCTAATTAAAACAGTAAATGGTAGATATAGCTCACATGACCAGACACTCCTTAAGGTGCTCAATAATTTTTAACAATTTAAAGGTAACCTGAGACCCAAAATTTTGAGAACCACTGATCTCTACCAGTGTATTCCACCTCTGTAATGTGAATCAAGGAGGATGCTTCCAGAGGTGGATCCCTGGATCCCATCCCTTTCAGATACTGATTTAATTGGTCCAGAGAAGAGCCCAGGCATCAGTGCACTATAACAACTCCCCAGGTGATTTTCATTTTGCAGTGGTGTCATACCAGTCTAGTGGGAAATACAGTTACTTGAACTTTAAAATGCAGATTCTGTTTTACTAAATCTGGAGTAATGCCTGGAAATCCACCTTTCTTTTTTTTTTTTTTTTATTATACTTTAAGTTTAGGGTACATGTGCACAACGTGCTGGTTTGTTACATAAATATGCATGTACCATGTTGGTGTGCTGCACCCACACTCGTCATTTAGCATTAGGTATATCTCCTAATGCTATCCCTCCCCCATCCCCCCGCCCCACAACAGGTCCCGGTGTGTGATGTTCCCCTTCCTGTGTCCATGTGTTCTCATTGTTCAATCCCCACCTGTGAGTGAGAACATGCGGTGTTTGGTTTTTTGTCCTTGGGATAGTTTGCTGAGAATGATGGTGGAAATCCACCTTTCTAATGAGTTTTCTGATGACACCTACGTTGTTGGTCTGCAGACCACATTCTACCTCTGTCTATGCAGTCCACAGTTAATCCCGCTGTCTCATATGGTGCAGCTTAGATCCCCAGCAATTACCTGGACTAGACTCCAACGTTGAGTTGTAGCCCTCACTTCATTAGCCTGGGAATCTTCTCTGAAGAATTCACTCTGCTGAATTCTGGCTGCTTAATATTTGGTCTTTCAGAAGTCCAGCGACTTCTTTATCCATTTTCTACTTCACTCACAGTGACGTTGTAATATATGAAATCACAGATATAAAAGTGCTTGGAAAGTTATAAATTTCCACATAGATGTAAAATGTTTATTTTATTACCATAATTAGCATTGACACTCAAATAGTCATAAAGATCATTAACCCCCACCACGTTCCTGACATAGGATCGTTGGGGTGTGGAACTACAGACACAAATGTGTTGCCTGGAGATTATATTTCAGTGAGGATAATAAAATGGCAAATCACAGATAGGAGTGATTTTATTCATTCACTCAACCATTAAATAAATATGTATTAATTGCCAGTTATATTCCAGGCTATGTGATAGGTATTCAGGACAGAGGCAAGACAAAATGAAAATATTACTTACAAAATATTTTAAAAACTCAAAGCATTATAATAAAATAAATACATGCAAATATTCATAGTTCTACTGTATAGTTTACTCATTTATATTTTGAGAATTTGTTTTCAGGTTCTTTATCGCATTTTAAAAACAATTTAGAATTATATAGTGATTGCTATTTCTGACCTTCAGTTATCCATTTGACATTAGTATTTTTACAGGTCATTTTTCTGTGAAATTTTTTAATATAACAGAGTAAAATCTTACATGAAGTATTATAGTGAAATAAAAATATAACCTATAAGCAGATATCAAAATCAGTTTGGAAAATGCTTGATATATGTTTAATACTATTTACCATTTAAAACTGAACATAACACCAACTATTTCCACCAAAAATTCTAAATATTCCAAGGAAAGTATAAGAATGAGATAGATACATACTAGATATAAGAAATAAATATATAGGTCTGGGCGGTGGCTCACTCCTGTAATCTCGGCACTTTGGGAGGCCGAGGCGGGCAGATCATGGGGTCAGGAGTTTGAGACCATGCTGACCAACATGGTGAAAGCCCGTCTCTATCAAAAATACAAAAATTAGCCAGGCACAGTGGCGCGTGCCTGTAGTCCCAGCTACTCAGGAGGCTGAGGCAGGGGAATTGCTTGAACCTGGGAGGCAGGTTGCAGTTAGCCGAGATTGCATCACTGCACTCCAGCCTGGGCGACAGAGCAAGACTCCATCTCAAAAATAAGTTAATATATAAATATAAATAAATTATATATAAATATATAAGAATCAATATTTATTTATATAAATGTATTTACATATACATTTATTGCATATAAATTAATTTATTATATACAAATAGGTATATAATGAAAATTAAAAATAAGCAACTATACTAATTACTATTGGCTGATGATGTATTCCTTTGATGTAAAGTTTGGATTTTACATTTTTTTAAGATAATGCTTATTATATAAAATATACAAACAATTTTTCTAAGTTTCTGTATTATTTAGTTGTCGCAGAGCAACAAATTGACCCCTGTCATTGTCTTTGATGATCTTGAAGGTTTCTACACTTGCCATCTTAGAGGTGCCCCTCTTTCACTAAAGTGGGAATAGGAAATGTAAAATGGAATAATTGATCACATTTAATTTAAAAATCTTAACTGCCTAATCTATTTAAGCCAACTAACAGCCTTGTGAATTAAGTATTTCTATTGTGCAAGTAAATCCTTGTCATTATTTATATTTTAATTAAAATAAAATTTTAGGGATAGTAATAGAAAAAATATTAAAAGGAAAGATCGTTATCTGCTTTTTATTATTTAATAACAGCAGATAATGTTCTACCACAAAATATTTGGAGGAGTTATCTTGCTTTTATATTTGAGGTTGTTGGTGTTATATATATTTTTTCTGTTAAAGGGTCTATAACTTTTAGCACATCATTTGTGAGCATCTCCTGTGACTAAGATACTACTAGACACTTGTAAAACAGTGGAAGGAACAATGATAATGACATTAACTAGGTATGACTTTTGCCCTCAAACATGAGTTAGGGAAAGAGAAAAGTAATGAAATCAATATAAGGTGATAGCTACTGAATTTATCACCACTCAGTTAGTTGCAGAGAAATAATCTGCTTTATTTTAAGCATGAAGTGACTTATTTCAGAATATTAAAAGAATTACAAAGTCATTTTAAGACTAAAGAATAAAGAAACCCAAACTAAACTCTTGGTTTAGTCTTCAGAAATAAGTTTCTCAAAGCATTCCTGAGAAAAGTGCTACCAGGAAAGTCCTGTGAGCTGAGGATCTGCCAAAGCTGTCACTGTAACTGCTCGTTCCAGATTCATGCCGCTAAGCTACACTCTGGGTTCTGGTGATAATGCTTACAGGACTAGAACTATGCTGCACCTGCTATGCTTGCTCTAGCAAAATGGAAGCCTCATACCCTGCATCCCTACGCCATTAAGCTAGTGACCAAACACCGACAGGAGCCAATGCTGCCTCAGGAAAGTGGAAATCCTCCAAGAAGGATGTTGCTGGGAGAAAGAGCAGAAACCCAGACCCTTCTCCTTCCTGCCTTCCAAATCACCTTTGTGTATAACTGATCGGGATACCACAGTCACCTATCTGGGACATCCAGTGTTTGGACTACAGAAGGCACACTAGTGGGAAGAGGCAGAAATGGCTATTGATAGTCCATCAACTGTGTATTATATTCTGTGATATTAATAATAATAAGAAGAATATTGCAATTATTAAGAAAGTTTGAGGCGAAATGGAACAAGTAGGATATTTCTTCTAAAAATGTGACCTCAAGGAGAAAGATAAAGTTGTCCTTAAAAGAAAGGCATAGAGAAAATTTTATAGTTAAAAAATATAATATGAGAATAATCTGAACAGGGTGAGGAGAAGAGGTGGAGGAGGGGACAAGAGATGGTACCTTGCCAACAAACATGCTTAGCAATTTTGGTTACTGCAGCATAAATGGCTGTAAGCTTTGTGTATGCACTCACCCTCAAAGGCAGTATCTACTTTGCTACATGGGCTTTGTGATGCCTTTCATACTCTAATCATTCATTACCTTTTGAACGAGTGTGATGCCTTCAATTTGAAAAAGCTATACCACTGGTCCCTAGAGTTACTTCCTTAAAGAAATGGTTTGTTTTGTTTTTTCCTTAAGAGGAGGAAATCCTATTGGCATCTGAGATTTGTAAATATAAACACATAAAAGATATTTAGCTAGTACTTTTCTTATATTTTATTAAAGAAAATATCAAGCCTGCATATATGGATTTTGTTCTAGTATATTACAGATTTTTGTCCTAGAAAACCATATACTTCCATATCAATGGGTATCAATCAATATTCATATGATTCTAGAAAAATTCCTTAAGGGTTCTTATCATGGATCAATTTAAAAGTCATTGCATGCCTAAGCTTTAATATTCTCTAAAGAGAAAAATAAATTGTTTTACTTTCCAGTGATCTCTATAGGAAATTATTTATATTAGTTTACAGAAAAAAATATGTAAAACTGTAACCATCTTCCAACATGTTCTCCAGTATAATTTTGTTTGCTTTTCCTCTTTTTCCTTTAAAAATCATTACTTTACCTTTGAGTACAGTATTTTGAATAATCACATTCCATTTTGAAAAAAAAAACCCATAGTGATCAAATGCCAAAGATCCTGTGATTGAAAAAAAATCAAAATAAGAGTAGCCATTAAAAATTTACCTGCAATTCATAAAGTTCACAATCTGTCATTTTATCAAAGGCTTTCTGTTGTGGGAAGTCAGGGACCCTGAATGGAGAGACTGGCTGAAGCCACAGCAGAAGAACATAAATTGTGAAGATTTAATGGACATTTATCAGTTTCCAAAATTAATACTTTTATAATTTCTTAAGTCTGTCTTTACTGCAATCTCTGAACATAAATTCTGAAGATTTCATGGACACTTATCACTTCCCCAATCAATACTCTTATAATTTCTTATGCCTGTCTTTACTTTAATCTCTTAATCCAGTCATCTTTGTAAACTGAGGATGTATGTCACCTCAAGACCCTGTGATGATTGCATTAACTGTACAAATTGTTTGTAAAACTTGTGTTTGAACCATATGAAATCAGTGCACCCTGAAAAAGGACAGAATATCAGCGATTTTCAGGGAATAGGGAGATAAGCCTGAGGGGTCGGGCAGAATAGAGCCATATTTTTCTTCTTACAGAAAGCCTAGAGATAGATGTGGGAGTAGGAGAAATATCACTGAATTCTTTTCCTATCAAGGAATATTAATAATTGATAGCCCTGGGGAAAGGATGCATTCTTGGGGGAAGGTCTATGAACGGCCGCTCTGGGAGTGTCTGTCTTACAAGGTTGAGATAAGGACTGAAATACACCCTGGTCTCCTGCAGTGCCCTCAGGCTTGTTAGGATTGGGAAATTCCAGCCTGGTGAATTGTAGTCAGAATGGTTGTCTGCTCTCGAACCCTGTATCCTGTCTGCTCTCGAACCCTGTATCCTGTTAAGATGTTTATCAAGACAATGTGTGCACAGTGGGACATGGATCCTTATCTGTAATTCTAATTTTGCCCTTGCCTTGTGATCTTTTATTACACTTTGAAGCACGTGATCCTTGTGACCTACTCCCTGTTTGTACATCCCCTCCCTTTCTAAAATCCCTTATAAAAACTTCGTGGTTTTGCAGCTTGGAGTCGCCATCATGGTCCTACCAATATGTGATGGCACCCCCGGAGGCCCAGCTGTAAAATTTCTCTTTGTACTCTTTCTCTTTATTTCTCAGACTGGCTGACACTTAGGGAAAATAGAAAGAACCTATGTTGAAATACTGGGGGCTGGTTCCCCTGCTAGCTTTCCTTCTGGTTAGCAGAGAAATTAGAAACTTTTGACATTCTGAGAGGGATAGAGTGATGTCAAAGGGACTATGAGGAAATTGAGCTATGGGAGAATTTCATCTAAGTTAAGAGGAATCCCAGAGGCCCCCTCCTTTGAATAAGCCATATTCTATGCTTCAGAGAGAAAATGAGACAGGAAACTCTAGCAGCCTGGAGGAGATGAAATTCACCAAGGACCAGAGCCCAAAATGAGGAAAAGAAACCCATTTGTCTTAGACTATCTGCCATTGCCTGGGCCAGAAAAACCTTTTTAAATCTGCCTTCTGAATACTGCCTTAGAACAAACAGTCTCACTTTCTTCACCAAAATCACACAACTTCTTATCTGTTTGTCTTCCAACTTTTGTACTCCCCACGCTTACTGGAATATAGGGGCATAGCATGAATATTTGTTTAATGAACAGAAACAGTGTCTGAATTGACATTCATTTCCCTAGTCCATTCTCACACTAGGGAGACATTCATTTCCCTAGTCCATTCTCAGCCATAATACTATTAAGAGAGCTTCCAAAACTGTTGATCTTACAATGCCACTCTCATTTCTAGTCTCAATAAATCTGGTACTGAAACTGGATCCCATAACCCCATGGAACTGTGCAGACTCAATTAAGATTATGGCACCTGGCAGATCCTTTAACAGGGCAAAATAGCCCATGGAAAACCTAAAGGAGTGGCTTTTCTCCCAATGCCTGTAGGCTCCAGAAGACATTGGTGCTTCAGTAGAAAATAAAAGGCAATGTCTGGGCACAGTGGCTCATGCCTGTAATCCCAGCACTTTGCGAGGCCGAGGCAGGTGGATCACCTGAGGTCGGGAGTTCAAGACCAGCCTGGCCACCATGTGGAAACCCCATCTCTACTAAAAGTACAAAAGTTAGCCGGGCATGGTGGCACATGCATGTAAACCCCAGCTACTCGGGAGGCTGAGACAGGAGAATCACTTGAACCTTGGAGGTGGAGGTTGCAGTGAGCTGAGATCATGCCATTGCACTCCAGCCTGGGCAACAAAAGCAAAACTGTGTCTCAAAACAAAACAAAACAAAAAATAAAAAATAAAGGAGAAAATAAGAGGCAAGTAGACAAATAAATAGAACATATATCACAATCAGGTTTCAAAAGAATTGTGGGTTATAATGGTCACATGGAATTGATGGGATTTAAATACTTTAAGTTAAAAAAAATTGGACTATTTAGATACTGAGAGAGTTGTGCTACCCAGAGAAACACCACTCCAGACTAAAAAAGAACAAGAGAGTTTAAAATTAAAACTACTCTATATCATTAACCTTCTTGAAGCTGAAGAAGTCTCTGTGGTCTTTCTCTTTGCTCCAGTATCTTTGCGCCTCCTCCTGTCCATGCTTGATTCTAATGGTTGGGTCAAAAAGAATATAAATAGAGGGAACTTTCAATGTAAAAGCATCAAAGACAATCTTCAATCTCAACAAGGGCTATTTGCCATATGGTGGCCCATAGCTACGCATCATCAATGATCTGGATATATGACTCACAGGCTACTTCTGTGTTACTTAAAATGAAGAGTACTGGAGCTCCATCTAGAGGCGGGAGTGAACATCTTAAATACAAGCAATTGTGCAGGAATAAGGAATTATCATCAACTAATGATGGCAAGCTAGAATTTGATTCTAGGTCTGCTTTTCAGAACACAATTGCTTCTGTCAACAATTTGCAGAATTTAATAAAATCAATGTAAAGCAAAAATCTTAGAACATTGTCTGGCATATGCAAAGCATTCAACAAACATTAGGTGGTTTGTTACCACTGAAATTATCCACTTAAAACTTGTAACCAAAATTTGGCTTCTGGTAGGTATTGTATTGCTGCCTTGATAGCCAAATATTTTAAAAAGCCAACCCAAACCATGGCAAGATAATAAAATCTGAATTTTAAAAGTTCTGTCACCAAAAGCAGCATCAACCTCATCAAGGTCAAGTGTTCAAAGAGATTGCTGTTTGGAAGCAGATTGTGTGGTTTCTTAAGAGTCATGTAAGCAAGTACTAATCAATATGTAATCACCTTGAATTTGTATTGTAAACACTTATAACTATCAATTTTAAAGAGTTTCCTTGTAAAGCTTTTAAATTATATTCACATAATTTCTTCATTGCAGTGAATTTTAATGAAAGTGGAAAAACATCCTTGGAATTCTTGGAATTGAACTACATGCTGATTCTGTTACTATTTTAGGTTATGTTTGAAATGGGCATATTTTTGTAGCTAATCATAACAGGAGGATTTCAATGACCTTAAATGCTTATTTTTATATAAGGATTTCTTTTTTTAGGCTAGTGTAAGTCAGAAATAAAAATCATGATACACCAGGGATGAGCTTCATTTCATTTGAAGGTCATACCCTGCATTTTTTGAGATCCTTTTTAGAGTTCAAAATGTCTATCAAAACTAATTTGCTGAACATTGGTGGTGTGTGTTGGGGGAAGCTAGTGGATGGATAATGAATGAAAATTAGCAGTACAAAATCTATTTCTAATCATTTTTTCCTCCAACTTTTCTCATAATCTATTTCAATTAATGATACTCAATTCATAAATCAAAAATATGGTAAACCTGCTACCCAATTCATAAATCTGAAATATGCTAAATCTTTCTTTTTCCACCCCATCCCAATGGTCCTTTCCTTTCCTGGAATTTGTATTAAATTTACATCTTTTGTATCACTTTGGTCAATGTCTCAATCCAGGTGTTCTCTGCGTCTCCCTGGCAATTGCTTAATGGATTCCTAACTTGTGACTTCATTTTGGTCCCTAGCTTCTCTCTATATTGCCTCTGTATTCATTATCCTGAAACAAGAATCTCATTCTGCCACTATGAGGGTGTGATGGAGAGCTGGTAAAATATAGCAGGAGCTATGGCTTCATAGCTATGGCCTCATATGCTTCATAACAAAGCATAGGCTTAAAAGTTAGAGAGACATATGCTAGAATCTTGGGTTTTCTAATTTATAGCTACATCAACTTGGGAAAGCAACTTAGGCTTCTAATAAGTCAGCTGTTTCAACATGTATGAAATGGGAGTGACTCTGCATTTTCATTGTCAATAATTAAGTGAGGCAAGACCCTACAAAAAAATGACTATGTAATAGTTATTATCTTCAGCAAAGAATGCTGTGATTTCATATTCTCTGGACCTTCTTAACAAACATGACTCTACAAAGATGCCTGGTGAAGAATAGGCATTCAGTAAATGTTGAACAAATGAATGAATTATATTTAACTTAGACTGAATTATTTTGTTTTGTTTTATCCTAGAATTTTATTTTCTCTTTTCTGCCTTATAAAATACTTCTTATAGCTTAAATCCTTATACTATTGAAAAGCATATGACCCCATTGACAGGTAAGAACTCTCTCTTCTTTGTGTCCGTATTACTTTTAACTGTTCAAATCTCATCATTAAGTTATCTTACATTCATCTATATATCTTTCTATTTTGATATCACACTATGAATTCGCTAAGGAAGTGAATCATGTCTTAACTTTCTGTTTCTACCATTGAACATAGTTGCTGGCCTATGGGAAGTACCAATAAATACTTGCCAAGTAACTTGTCTAAGAAAAGCAAAGAATGAATTGTATAAGCTGAGATAAAGGAAGATAGTTTGTGTGTGTTCCTTAGACATGTTTTCCCAAGAAAGAGACACAATTTGAGAGCAAGTAGTTTGGGGAGCCAGAAAGGCTCAGAATGAGGGTAGAGAATGCGAATGGAGAGAGGGAAGGGAATGAAGCCAGTGTAAAGTGGGCTAATGAGTACATTACCACTGTGGACAATGGGTTTCCCTCCCACTGGGGATCTCTAAGATACAGTGTAGAACATTCTCTGGAGTTGCTCCCCTCTGGGAGCTCCTCTCTCCCAGAGGGGAGAAGAAGCTGAAGAACTTTTCCACAATCTCTCCTTCATATTGTAAGTTCCTTAGAGAAAGTCCTCAGGCAAAGTTGCACAGCCCATAGCTTGTACAGAAGGATGAGTGCCTGGGGATGGAACAGGTCAGCTGCCATGGTGCAAACTTTCAGTTAGAAAACACAAACATGTGGGTGGCATGGGCCAGGGAACAAGAAGCACTGGAGGCGGTTGTCAAATAGATTATGTTTTTGTTGCCTCTCAATTCTGCTTTATTTACTCTTGACACTGAGGTCCCTCATGGCACCCACTGCAACTCAATTGGAACATAGAGTTTATGCCTGTAATCCATGAGTATTGTCCAGTCATTCTGTGTCTTCATCACCCTTTATCACCGCCCCCTTTTTTTTTCTTAGAACCTTGTTTTCAGCTAGTTATGTATAGATAAATTTGATGTTTAGGGAATTCACAATTCACAATGAGTTATTTAAAAAAAAATAAGAATTTCCCTTGGACTACAGAAAAGTTTGACTTTTGACACAAAATGTAAATAATATACATGTCATGTAATAACACACAGCACCATGCAAATCACTAAACCTCTCTGAATTTCAGCAATGTCATCTACAAAGTAAAAATAATTTTGTATAGTGGTTGGGAATACTAAATATGAGGAGATGTACGTTATTCAGAGGAAAGAGTCTGGGAATGGCCACATTTTACTTGAATATAGACTCTTGCATGACGAAATGTTCCCAAAGCCATTGATCTGATAAGAACCTCATGTGGGGACATATATTGCACATTTGGTCATGAATTCATGGGAAGAATCATGGTGCTGCCAAAAAAGGAATCTGGATATACACAAATGAGTCCATGTAAAACTGCTGAAATGTTACTAAGATTGATGGATTGTATCAATGTCCATTTATTGGTTGTGATGTTGTACTATAGTTTTAAAAGATGCTACCATTGGGGAAAATAGAGTGAAGGGGTCATTGAATATCTTTGTATTACTTCTTACAATTGCATGTGAATCTAAAATCACCTAAAAGGATTATGTTGTACAAAAAGAATATTGGAAATGCAATACCTGCTATGCTTATTTTTGATCAATCTATAAATAGAAGGCTGGAGACAGGAACTATGAATAATAGTGGGTGAGCCATCACCAGGTGTGTGATGGTTCCATTAATGAAATTATAGAGGACAAAAGAAGGTGGATCATCTGTGAATGATTTCTAAGTTTGTCAACACTTGCAGAGAAAACCTCAAGAGGCCATTTGCGTTTTGACAGAGAGATGAGCCTTTGTGAATTTAAAACAACCAGGATGTGAAGCCTGTGTCCTTATCCCAAGAGGTGCCAAAAGCTATAATTTGGTGAGAAGAATTCAACGAGTCACTCTGCGGCCTGTGTTCAATTCCCTCAATTGCTGGCTTTGTTTTTATGTAATTGTTGCTTTTTTGTGGATTCTCAGTAGCCACGTGCCATTTATTCTTTCATATGTTATTTGCTAAAAAACAAAAAGAAGATTCTGAGCATATGCTATGTTCCTTGTGTGCAAGTTGTGTGGGTGCCAAAGGTCAATACAACTGGATTCGTGTCTTAAAGAGCTCCAAAAGGAGAAGAGAGAAGTAAATCACCCAGTACTACACAGTATGCCATTAGAACACTTCTGTTACCTTATTTTTGTATTTATGAATACTGTTTTTTAATGAGTTTTTTAAAAATTTCAAACAATAGGCCAGGTGCGGTGGCTCATGCCTGTAATCCCAGCATTTTTGGAGGCCAAGGCGGGTGGATCACAAGGTCAGGAGTTTGAGACAAGCTTGGTGAAACCTCATCTCTACTAAAAATACAAAAATTAGCTGGGTGTGATGGCGGGCACCTGTAGTCGCAGCTACTCAGGAGGCTGAGGCAGGAGAATTGCTTGAACCTGGGAGGCAGAGGTTGCAGTGAGCCGAGATTGCGCCACTGCACTCCAGCCTGGGTGACAGAGCAAGGCTTTGTGTCAAAAAAAAAAAAAATCATGCAATAAATGTACATAGTTTCAAAATTCAAATTGAACCAGAATAACTAGGACTGAAAACAGCAACCCGTCACTGTTTCCCTACTTCACTCCCAAGTGTTGTTTCTCAGAGGAACCACTGTCAGTCTTTAGGTTGTTGAGTCTTGTATTCCTCACTACATTTTTAATAAATAAGCTTATATTATTGTTTCTTCATTTTTGTATTTTATTGAGTATTATTATATATAATTATGCTACTCAGCATATGCATGAAATGTACTATGCTTAAATGTCCCTTTCGTTTTTGTGTTTCCTAGAGTTAATAATTGCCTCATATTTCACCTGGGATTTTCCTTCAACTTGATTGTAAGAATTCCCTTTGTTTCTGTTCATCTTGGAGCCCCTGCTGGATCCCACCCTTTCCTCTATCTTGTTTTAATCTCTCATTTTGGTGGAGAAAAGTCTTCAGAAGCTTTCTAACAACAGACAAAAATGCAATGGATTTTGCAAAGTCTACTTTTAGCCTTCATAATAATTGACAATTTGACTGGATAAGGAACTGTAGTTTCTTTATAGTTGAATTATGCAGAAACATCCATTTCTCATCTTCTGTGTTTTTGTTTTCCATTCTCTTTGTCTTTAAAGGTGGATGATACTTATTTCCCTTAATATGATTTTGGTTATAATATTTAGTGTTGTGTATTTTCGGAGAGAGGGGAAATTAGCATATTTATTCAATCTGCAATGACTAGCTAGCCAAATTGCTTTTCTTTTGTCTTTTTCCTTCCTCCCTTGTCCTTCCTGCCCTTCATATCCCTGGACTTCTTTTGATTTGGGGAGGCTCTGTACTCAGTGACAGGACTAGGGAGATTAAAGTGAAGTGCACGGGGAAAGAAGCATGATATAGGAATCCCTAAACATCTTCTTTTCTCTCTCTTGTCTTTGAACAGTGTAATGGGACAATCCATAAAGCCAATGTCAGAGTGCAGATAGGGAAAAGGGATTAAGAGAACTATTTATTATGCCCTATAAAGTTTATATACAGAAGCAATCTTTGTAACTTACATATGACCTGAAAACATCACACTGATGGCTTTTATTATAGGTGGATTTTGAAGTGTAATGAATGTAATATAATATTTATTCCCCTTACCATATAGTTCGTTGAGATTTGAAGAATGCATAGCATTGTATAACTTCTACCACAGTTAAGATGGAAATCATTCCATCACATGCCAGATTTTTCTTATTACCCTCTATAGCCAACCCATCTTCCTAACCACATCCTCAGCCCTAGCCCTGAAATTTATAACCAGTTTTCTTTTGTATGGAGTGTTTCTTCTCATCTCATACATGTCGTTTTATTCCATACTCAAACATAACAAGATTAAGAGATTTAAGAAGGTTGACATAATTTTATCTTTATTACCAATAAGGCAATGTGTATTAAGGCATTTGAAATTAATGTAAAATTTACTCAATGGAGTAAATCTTAAACAATTTTTAATTTAAAAATAATTAAAAAATAATCTAATTTTTTAAACAAATTGTAAACAGTGGAGTGATATACTCTAAACTTCTCCTTTATTTTTGATTTCATTATTAATTAATTAAGCCACTTCTGTGTGCTAACAAACATGGGAATACCAAGATATCATCCAGACACTTTGAATTAGGATTTGTCTACAGTATTTTCAAGTTTGATTTAAAATGTAATGTTTATATGGAATTATTTGTATGGAGACTATAGTCAAGAAGGAATAGGAAAATATGGAATATAATATTTATCAAGTTGACATCATTTCAATATATTGAGCCTTTACTCCTATAGGTACTACGTGAGATAAAGACTATGAAACTTACACAATAGTTTAGAGACATAGGCATTCATAGTTTATTTCAAAATAATATTATAATCAATAAGTTAGCCATATGCCAAGTGATAAGCATATTGTGAAAAACATCTTCTTTTATATTACTGGGTCTATACTTTTATCCAATTTTATAGTAAAGAAACCAAAACTAAAATAAATTTTAAAAAACTCCCTGACTGTCAGGGATATTAAGTGGCAAGTAAAGTTTTAACTAATTCAAGGCTGATGCTTCTTTTCAATATAATGTATTTCCTCCCACAAATGGAGGGACTTGTGCTCTTGTCTCACTATATTCTCACTTTAGCTTTTTATGTTAAAACAAATCTTCTTGCTTCTAAATTCTTATTTTTTCAAGAATATGCTATTTTATTTAACCCTCCTCTCACCTATATCACAGCAGTCTCCCAATTTCTAAATGATGGCTGTCTCTTCCCTATGTTATCACGTTCAAGTATGTTCTATATAAATTACAGCAATGCTAATATTAATACATATATGCATAAGCATTTAATACATGCATACACACTACATTGTCCAGTATTTGACACTATCCCTCTGTTTCCTTCCACAAGAAAATTTTTCCACTGAACTTTTTACGTGTTCTATCTACACTTTCTCGTCTCCATTTCTCTTTTTAGTCAGTTTCCATTTCTTTTCAAATCAGGACTCCACAAATGTTTTCATGATATAATCATCATGCTTCCAAATCCAATGGTCATTTCTCTGCTCTTCTTCACTTGATTACTCTCCTCCATGAATCTCTCTCTTTCCATCAGGGATTCTGCAATCCCACACTGTCTTAGTGCCCTCTCTCCTCACTGATTTCTTCTTCTTGGTCCCTTATTCAGACCTCGCATACTGCCTGATGCTAAATGCTGGCATGCCTTTGGGTTTCGTGCTGGAGCTCACTAACTTCACTGCTTTGTGATATTTTTTCCCCAAGTGATTTTATCAAGCCCCGTGGTTTTAGTAACAACCATGAATTAATGCCTCCAAGCCTTTAGCTTAGATTTCTCTTTCCTGAGCTTCAAATCCATAGAACCAAATCTCTCGAATTTCTAAGCTTTTCCCTCCCCAGACTATTTTTCATAAAACAGTAAGAGAGGTCTTTCAAGAATGTATGCTATATAATTTCATCTGAACTAAAGCTCAAGCTCATAACCATGGGTAATGAGGATGAATGATCTTGCCCCTAGCAGTTTATCTTACATTTGCACTTAAAATTCCCTCTTCAGAGTACTGATTCATTTTACATGGCAGCTCGGAGAGGACTGCATTGACAACCTGAACTAAAATAGCCAATCTCAGTTAATCTCTAAGTACAATTCTGTTTAACTCTGTCATTAAATTTATAATAATCTCTAATGATTTTATTTCTTCCCTTGCATATTATTAAGTTTGATATTCAACTAAAATATCAGCTCCATAATGATAGGATCATCTCTATGTTCACTCCTTTATCCTTAGGATACAGCAATACCTGGTACCTTTTAAAGGTTCAATAAATATTTACACAAGTTAGTGCATATAAAAATCTCAGACCAGTGCCTGACACACTGTGAGTACTATATGAATAAATGCCAAGCATTAATTTAATTTTTATTAATCTTTTTTATTAAATAATTGAATCAATACATGATACCTTAGAATTGTATGGTGAGAAATTTTAAACATTTATTCATTTTTCATCTGCTTTTCTCTAAAAATATTAATTTATAGTGGTCTACTCATTATAATACGTAGGGAATGAAAGTAATAAGAAAAAGAAAGATGTAGTTGAAGTTTTTAAATTAGAGTCTGAGACTTCAGTTTTTCAACTTAAAGTAAGTGAATAATAAGGCTCAAGTAATCAGGTTGTCATGAAGTACAGATATGACGAATGTTGTGTTTAGGGATCACTGAATCATTCATCTATTCAGAGTCAGTTGAATTTAGACATACCACAGGTTCTAACCATGGAAAGCCTTGTATGCTATCCATAGATGATCAGGAGAGCAGTTCATCTCTTGTCAGTAGAAAAATCACATGTTCAACTTTTCTCCAGTGCAAGTATCCTCTTATGGCAATGTGTGTGAGTCAGTTGGGTCGGGGAGGACTTTTTGGTTACCTGAGCAAGGTGACAAAAATTGTCATACTTTGAATAGGTATTTATGTGCCACAGTTATTCTCATTAGTAATTACTTGGTAAATAAACAGATCATGATAAGAAGAATGGGAAAAGTGTTGAGGAAAAAGATGTGTTAAAAATGTATTCCTGAAAAAATGTTCTCCACAAATTAATAGTTGTGGAGGGCTGTAAAATTAGTGAATTCATTTAAGATGGTTTATCTCAGCCATTTTTTAAAAGTTTATTTGTGAAATGGATTTGATAAGATCTAAAATATGAGCATGTCTAACATTGTTCCAAACAGAAAATTATGCTTAATAGTTGATTTCCTTTCTTTTCCTTTCCTTTCCTTAAAATTGGCTTACATATAAAGCAAGTATCTGTTCAACAGGATCCCTTCATCACAAGTTGTACAAGCTAACAGAATGCACACACTCTTACACACAACGGAGATGATTTGAGAACTAATCCCTTCTGGCTTAGCAATAACAAAATGCTATTGAGTTCTTCCCTTCTGTCCTTCTATGTAACATCATGCTTATAAGACAGAGAACCACATGCACACACACACACACACACACACACACATATATATTTTCTGATTAGATGACAAATAATTCAAAGAACCTCTCAAGATTAACCACAAAAACACATATTTTCCAGACTCTTTATGAAGCTCAATCTTGGTTGAGTTTCATTATGTCATAAGCAAATAAGATCCAGGTTGCACAGAAAACATAAAATTCCAGAGATATTTTTGCCATAAATCAGTAAGAACAGTTATTCCTGCTTTAACACAAAAACTATACTTTGCTGTTAAAGTCTTTAAATGTATAATCTTTCCTTATTTATCTGTATACTATTTGTAACTAACACAGAGCTCCACGTAAAGTTAGATTCAATTGATGTTTATTGAATTAAATGTACAAATTCCTGATTGTAATATATATGTATATATTTAAAAATTAAAACTCAAAACTCATTATTGTGCATTTTTGTGTTTAAAGCATTAGAATAGCTGTTGTAAGGGATACAAAGATTAATAGTAGAGCTTCTTTTCTCCAGTAGCTTATAGTGAGCAGACAAAAGTGCTTACCTAAAAAGGATGCAAATGTGAAACTTCCTGTGATTACTGCTATGATAAAAGTAAAGTTGTATAAGATGACACTGAAAGAAAATATCCAATGTAGTTGGAAGGAATTTAAAAAGCATACTTGTAGAAAATAGGGGTTGAATTAGTCCCTTTTAATTTATGTTTAAATGGATTTTGATAGCAATAACAAGCAAAAAAAGATAATGAGAAGATATGGGGTGTTTTAGCAAATAATGAGAAACTTGGAGGTTCTAAGCATAAAGTGTATTGAACAAGACTGGAAAGAGAGGGATTTAGCAGAAAAGCTTGGGAGAAACAGAGCATCAAGGACATTCTGCTAAACAAGCAAGGCAGTGATGGTTTTTGAACAGTGGCAATGAAGTGTGCATCAAACCTAGGAAGAAGTGAGCTTTAGGGGCCCCTTACACACATGGTACTGAAATCCAGACTATGAGTCACCTCTTCAACCAGAACATGATCCGTTTATGGAGAAGCTCTTTAACTTGGCTGGAGAACTCATTGGAGAAATCCAGTTATTTCGTAATCTGGTAATTAAATAACTGTATCAAGGCCAAATTAGAAAAGAAATAATTAGTAATAACTCTATGTCTAAAGAAATAGTAGCCCTATGTGTTAGTCTAGGTCCCAGAAGTTATTGTGTGTAATTAAAGCAACTCTTGTCCAAATACCTCTCACTGGAACATCTTCTCTTGCTCTCAGATCCTACTTAAAACCATGGGTATTTTCATTGTCATTTAAGAATCAACTCTGTATACATATGTAACAAACCTGCACGTTGTGTACATGTACCCTAAAACTTAAAGTATAATAATAATAAAATTAAAAAATATATATAAAGGAAAAAAAAGAATCAACTCAAGTTATAGTTTGTCTGTTTTTTTTTATATACCAAACATTTTTTATATGTTTTCACAATTTTCATCATAATATGTCTTTGGGTATCAAAGTAATACTTCCCATTGTAGGGCATATAAAAATTACCAGAGACTGACAGAAGCAGAAACAAAATCACTTATGACCACATCACTGAGACCACAAATGAAAACAAATGTGTGTCTTTGCTTTCAGGGTTTCTTCTAAAACATTTTCTTCACCGAATAGAGCTTATATTCTATATTATTGTATCTTGCACTTTTTTCCATAACATTTTATTACAGGTATTTCCCATAATATTCAAAATTAAATAAAGGTAATTTTATTGTCTATATAATTTTCTTATTTTTAATAAGGTATTATTAAAATAACTGATTTATGAGGATATTGCTTCATTTCTCCTTTTACATATATAAGGTCTCTTTAATATGTGGTTAATGGAGTCTTTATTTAGTGCTTATTTCATTCCAATTCCAGACATTTAACAACTATGAATAGAAATGCTTATAAACTAATAGATTTTTTAAATGGGCAAAAAACAGATATTCAAAAATAAGAGCAAATTGCAATTATGCATAGAAATATAATATCAACTCTCACTATTAGTGATATATAAGTATAAAACTACAAACAGCTACTCTATTTTAAGAATTCAAAAAGTTTTTAAAATGTACTTTTTAATTATAGGTTACAATTTTAACTTTTTAAACATTTTCTATTTTCTGTTTAATAGTATATTATAGGCAAGACTAATATGCTTTTACTTAAGTACGTTTACTTCTGGGTATATATCCAAAGGTATTATAATAAAATCAGTACCTTAAAGAGATATTTGCACTCCCATGTACGTTGCAGCATTGTTCATAATAGCCAAGATATGGAAACAACCATCACCAGATGAATGGATAAAGAAAATGTGGCATATATACATATAATGTACTATTATTCTACCTTACAAAATGAGGAATTCCTGCCATTTGTAAAACTATGGATGAACCTGGAAAACATTATGCTAAGTGAAATAAGCCAGTCACAGAAAGACAAATACTGCATGATTTCACTTATATGCAGAATCTAACAAATACTTAGAGTTTTGGGGTTTTGCTTTTTGTTTGTTTGCTTTTAATCCATGATTTTGTTTGATGGGTTAAGTGGGTTATTTGCTTTCAACCTACTGAGAAGTATTATACCATATCATTAATTTCATTAATATTGGATTTATATTTTCTAATATATTTAATTTCACTGATTTCTGATTACTAGTCTCTAAAAATAATTCTTTTCGAGTAACATGAAGAATTTATCAAGATTTTACTTTCATGATTTTTTGTTTTCTTTCCATGTCTTCTTCTCTTTTTTAAATAACCAAGGTTATTGACTGCTATGTTATTTGTTTCTATTTCAAAATTATTTTCTATATTATGTGTTATACAATATATATCTATGTACAAAAGTTTTACATAAAATTATGTCTTATGTTTTATAGTGCTTTTATATAATTATTTCCATTTTTCAAAGAGATTAACATTTTAGTAGCTAGAATGTGTATATCTATATATACACACACACATATACACACACACAAACCTATGACATATATACTATGTAGAGAATAGATATAAACATATATATCTATGTATCTGTATCTGTATTTATATCTATATCTTTCTCTTGAGAAAAGGCATAGGAATATTCCAAAGCAACCATGTTGCATGCCTTCAAATAATTCTGTATGGTGGATTCTCTATTTACAATTCTGCCTAGAGTTAATGATGCAGCAGACATTGGTGATAAACTTTTAGAGAGCTGCTTATCTGAAAATATTCCTTTGACATATTAATGACCACTTGTCTAAGGATGTATTTAAGGGGTCTCACACACTGTTATATTGTGACCTTATTGTCTTCTGGTGTTTGGTGTTGAAGAAAAACTACTGCTCTAAAGCCAGACTCTTCCTCATTCCCCTCATGGTTGACCTGTGGATTATCTCTAGAAGGATGTTAACAATTTTTAATTCAAAATTTCACAGAATTATATCTAAGATTGTGTTTATTTTATTTATGTTTGTTTGAGATGTGTTTACTGTTTGAGTTTTTGATCTTATAACCCTCTACACAGATTTTAGAGTAATTTTATGAAGATGTAATTTAGATGTGTTAAAAAAGAATTCGTTCAAGTCAACAGTTTTCTGAACTTTGACAAAGGTAAACACTCATTTAATAGCTCTAAATCAAAATATAGAACATTCTTATCACTCCAGTAAGTCACTTTATGTTTTTACCCATTCAACTCTTACAACTCTGACCCAAGCATTCAACAATACATATTCCTTCAGAAAAGCTTAATTCTGCCTGTTCATGAATTTTATCCATATGAAATCCTGAAATACACATACTTTTATTGCTGGGTCCTTTCACTCAAAATGATGGTTTTGTAGTTTACCAATGACATTGCATGTATCAATGGCTTGCTCTTTTAATTATTTATTTGTGTTCTACTATATTTATTATTTTACCAGTTGAGAAGTATTTTGGTTACTTTTAGTTTTTGATATTATTAATAAAACCACTATGAATATCTATGCACAAGTCTTTGAGTAAGTGTCTAAAATTCAATTGTTGAGTTACATGATAAATGTTCAGTTAACTTTATAAGAAACTGCTAAACTGTTTTTTTCAAAGTGTTATACCATTTCCTCCATCCACCAACAGTGTATTATTGACAAAAAGAGTCCAACTCTATAAAATACTTGAAGAGATTTATTCTCAGACAAATATGAGTGACTATGGCCCATGATACAGCCCTCAGGAGACCCTGAGAACATGTACCCAAGGTGTTCAGGGTACATCTTGGTTTTATACATGTTCAGGAAACACGAGACATCAATCAAATACATTGAAGATACATATTGGTTCTGTCCAGAAAAGCAGGACAACTGAAAGAAGTGGCTTCCAGGCTATAGGTAGATTTAAAATTTTTCTGATATGTAATTGGTTGAAATAATGATTATCAATAGAAAGGAATGTATGAGTTATGATAAAACATTATGGAGATCAAAATTTCATCATGCAGATGGAGCCCCTAGGCCACAGGCTTCAGAGAGAATAAATTGTAAATGTTTCTTATCAGACTTAAGGTCCATGTTAATGTTAAATGCTGGTCAGCTTTTCTTGAATTCCAAAAGGGAGGAAGGCATAATGAGGCCACCTCCGAATCCCTACTTCTGTCATGGCCTGATCCAGTCTTTCAGGTTAAGTTTTAGTGTCCTGGCCTAGAGGAGGAAGTGCGTTCAGATGGTTGGGGTGGATCTTTGAATTTTATTTTTGGTTTACAGTATGAAATTGCTACTGTAACTGCTCCATATACCCCCTGACATGTAGTGTTTACAGTCTTTTTAATTTTAGCCACTCATTGGTTGTGAACTGGTATTTCTCTGTAATTTTAATTTGCATTCTCTGTTGGCTAATATTATACGTCAGCTTCTAAGATAGCACCCAATTATCGGCACCTTTTCTTTTTCACTATTGAGGCCCTTGTTATAATGTCCTCTCTTTGAATGTGGACATACTTTATAACTTTTTTTTCTAATCAATAAAATATAGCCAAAAATATAAGATGTCATTTCCAAGATTAGTTTAGAAAATACTGTGATTTCCATCTTGCTAGCAGACACTCTGTCTTGCTGACTTTGATGAAGCACGTGGCCATGTTGGAGGGGTACACATAGCACAGAACTGAGAGCGACCTCCAGCCAGCAGCCGGCCAGGAACCCAGGTTCTCATTTCAACAGCCCACAAAAAACTGAATGCTGCCAAAACCCATTTTTATAGCTGAAAGGCAGATCTTTCCCCAGTTGAGTCTTTAGGTGTTATCCCAGTATTTGCCAATAATTGGTAGTCTTGTGAGGTACCCTGAAGCAGAGGAACAAGTTAAGCTGTGCCAAAATTACTGATCCATAGAAACTATGAAATAACGCAAGTTTGTGGCTTTTTACCTGCTGAGGTTTGGAGTAATTTGTTTTGCAGCAAGAGATAACTAATATTAACAAATTCTTCTTTAATTTTGTGAACAAAGCTTTTACAAAATACATATTAAATTCAACCTCTGGATACATCAGGTTTGTTTCTTACTGGCTTATTTTTTCCTATACATGGTTACATTTTCATTTTTCTTTGGATGTTTAGTAATATTTGACTATATGTAGTACAATGTGGTTTATACAATGGATTCTGTTATCTTCCTCTGCAGGCTGTTGATAATTTGTTCAAGAAAGCAGTTTAGTGACTAAATTATCACCTTGAACTTGTAAAGGCTTAGCTTTACCCTTTGTCTGGGCAGAGCTGTGAAAGCCCAAGATGCTTCTTGGGCTCCAAAACTGGGTAGAGCTTCACCTTCATATTCTGTCTTTCTGGCAGATCTAAAGGCTTAGTTTTCGGCTTTGTTTGAAGATGTCTAGACAAAATCTTGTTTTAGGGTCTTGCTCTTCTTTTAAGGCTTGACATTTCTGGTGGCCTGCTTGCATGTGCAGAATGGTGTTTGTTGCCTCCAATCTCATGTTAAATCACAAATTTTGTAAACTTATCTCATTCAATTTGCCTGGATGTTGGAGGTGGAGCCTGGTGGAATGTGTTCAGGTCACAAAGGCAGATCCCACATGAATGGCTTGGTGCTCCCACCTGTGGTAATGGATGAGTTATTGCTCTGTTTCTTCACATGAGAGCTGGTTGGTTAAAAGTTCAGAGCACCTACCCCCTCTCTTTTGCTCCCTCTCTTGCCACGTGACTCGCTGTCTCCTCTTTCCCTTCCACAGTGATTGAAAGCTCCGTGAAGCCTTCACCAGAAGCAGATGCTGGCACCATGCTTCTTGTATAGACTGCAGAACCATGAGCCAAATAAACCTCATTCTTCATAAACTACCCCATCTTAGGTATTCCTTTGTAGCAACACAAACAGGCTGACACATGTGACAATAGACACTAATGTATCTCTACATTTTGTCTCAGTCAGAACTGGGGCATATTTCAGTGTTACCCAAACCCTAGTGTCTGTTCTATGCTCAGCCCTGCAGCTGCTCTCTAGGTAACCTTGTACATTCTCATCCAGTTCATCTCCTGCCAGCCCTCCAGCCACTCATGAGTGACCAAATATAACTTTCGGTGCCCCTGAAGAACTCTTTGTCTCTAGTGTTCTGCATTACAGATTTCAACTACTTTACTTCCCCAGACTCTTATCTTTGCCTCCTTAGCTCGAGGGAGCAGTCATATACTTCTTAGAGCAAAGCTGATTTTGATGTGGTTGTGAAATGGGAAAAGTTTCCTAATCCCCCTTGCAGGGCGTGCAATGGGTATGTGGCTCACTTCTTCAGTGTCCTGCTGTTCAAACCTCTATGGGAAGCATGCAGACTGGCAGGTTGTGGGGCTCTGACCCCATGGCAGTGTCTAGGGGTGAATGTTTACACCTGAAGCCCCAGTGGGCATGTGTTACAGTGTGCTCTTTCAGTTTAGCCATCCATAGACAGCTTGTGTTTATCAGCTCAATTAGACCCTCTGCCTTATCACAAGAACAGAGGGCTTTCTGTATCCCAGGTTCTTGCCTTGGTGTACCGGAAGAATTGGATCACGTGTGGGCTTGGAGGATGGGTGCAAGATTTTTTACTGAGTGGTGGTGGATCTCAGTGAGGTGGATGGCAGGCCAGAAGCGGGATGGTGTGGGAAGGTGGTTTTCCCCTGGAGTCAGGCCGCCCAGCAGCTGGGCTCTCCTCTGACTGTCCTGGCCAAACTTCACATCGTTCAGTTGTTGACGGCTGGCATTTGCCAGGGCCTGTCGTTGTGCTCTTCCACCAGTGTGCTCCTCTTGACGTCCAGCCGCTTGTGTCTGTGCCCTCTAGGGTCTTGGGGCTTTTATAGGACAGGACAAAGGCATGGAAGGCCAGAGTGGTCTTGGAAAATGCAATATTTGGGCACAAAGGCAGGAGTCCCTGTCTTTACCTCGGTCCCTGGGCACAGGCTGGAGGGTAGAGCCCATGCCAGGGATCCTGCCCATCTCCTCCCAGCACTTCCCTGCCCTTCTTGCGTATCAATTGTAAACAAAAAATAAAATTCTAAGGCCCCCCAACCATCTGAATGGATTTCCTCCTCAGCCAGGGCTCTTAAAATTTAACCTGAAAGACTGGTTCAGGACATGAAGGAAAGTGGGAGATGGACATGCCTCATTATACCTCTCCAGCATTTGCATCAACACAGACTTTAAGTCTGATAAGACACATTTTACAACCTATTCTCTCTGAAGCCTGTGAGCTAAAAGCTTCATCTGTATAGTAAAACTGTGGTCTCTGCAACCTGTTATCGCAACCCCAGACATTCCTTTCTGTTGATCGCAGGTCTTTAGACAAACTCAACCAATTGTTAACCAGAAAATGTTTAAATTTACCTATAGCCTGGAAGCTCTCCCCACCCCCCTAGCTGCCCAGGCTTTCAGTTGTCTCACCTTTTTGGACCAAACCATGTATTTCTTAAATGTATTTCATTGATGTCTCATGTCTCCCTAAAATGTCTAAAACAAAGCTGCACCCTGATCTCCTTGGGCCCATATTCTCATAACTTCCTGAGGGCTGTGTCAAGGGCCATGGTCACTCATATTTGGTTCAGAATAAACCTCTTCAAATATTTTACAGGGTTAGACTGTTTTCATTGACGATAATTTGGTTTCACAGAGTTTGACTGTTCTCGTCGGCATGGTTGAGACATTATCCCTGGCAGAAGGCTGGACTGGCATGGACATCATTTGATGAGTTCGTCTCCTCTTAACAATCAAAGCCTGTTTTCCAGTGCGAATAAACTGTTGCCTTATATATTGTTTTCCCATTTTTATAGTTGTTTACTGCAAAAAAGAGTCTGGTACAAGTTACTTTGCTAAAACCTTGATAAAGTTTTATTCTACGATTCTTCAATCAATGTTTCTGTTTTGTTTATTCTGTTATCTCTGTTGTGTCATACCATAATTCTCTCATTAATAGCTCATATTCTTTTTCATAGCTATTCAATTCTTTAGCAGTTTCTACTTTTATGTTTGGGAGAAAATTGAAAGCTTGATTTCTTATTTTGACAAGTTTTCTAAAGGTTTCAGCATGCAATATTTTTTTTCATAGCCTTACAGTTTGTAATAGTTCATCTGATTGTAAAGCTCTTACAATCTTTCCTGATTTTAAGTCATTTTAACAACGACTTTCTCTCTTTTTTATTTTTAAGAAACAATGTCCTCCTTTTCATTTGTTGAGAACTCTACTCAGCTTTTAAAAAACTTCCTGTGTATGTACCTTAATTCTTTTGACAATAAAACATTACTCTGAATATTCAAAGGGTCTTTCTTCTTTAGAATGGTGGTTCCAAAGAGCTATATTTTCCTACATTTGGTGATCTTTCTTTTGTAAATTTGGAACTTGGTTTATAGCTTTTTAAAAAGGTTTTACCAACTACTAATATGGAACCACATGCTGTTTTCTTTATGAGTGGATTTTTCAGACATTCTGTTAATGCAAACCAGACGTTCATGACTGCATCAGTCTATGAAAGCTGAGAGATACCTGGGGCCATAGGCATTCTCTCCAGTACAAGTTGCCTCTTCTTTTCCTTTGCCATGTTTAATGAAGTTCACTTATTCATGTCAAAATACTTTTTTTTCCTTCACCCATTCACTTTCTCCTTGTTGTCCTTCAGCCTCATCCCACCTCCTCCTCTACTCACACACAAACACATTCCAAGCCTGATCCCTGGGACTTGCCCAAGGCAGGTGGGAGTTCATTTGTTCTCTAAATGTTTTACCCCGCACCCTACCTCCTAACCCCCTGCCCCTCCACCTGGCTCCCCCACATTTCCCTCTAAGAGGGAGTTGTAAGATGGTTTATCCTCAGGCACTTCCACTTATCTCCTGGGCATATGCCCTTTCTCAGAAAAAGTAGTAAGTTGGAATATTACAACATCCTCTGATGTAATGTAGCCACTCACTTAGTTTACAAATCAGAAATCAGTGGTAGTTTTTGTTGTTTTGTCAACATCCTGAAGAATTAAATACGGATACTCCTATATACAAACATTTTACTCCCATCTTTATATTCTTTTTTTTTCTGTTTGCCATTCTAATTGAAATCGAGTGGTAGAAAGCAACATAGATAGGCTCATTGTCATCTTACCCAGGAAATAAAGGAAAACTTACTGAATGCAAACTTGGTACTGTACACTAGAATGTAAAAGCTCACTTCCAGCTTAGTAAAGGACCAAGAAAGCTACTACAAAGCGAATTCAAGCACTGGAGCTACTCTACTGAACCACGTAGAATCCTGTCCTCCCTCACCATGTCCACAAGGACACAGTATGGGGTAGAAAGGCAACACATGCCTGTGCAGAAGGAAAGAGCAGGTTACTGTATTAGAAAAGCCATTTGTGTGAGGCCAAATCGTGATTCTGACAGCCCAATTATGACAAGTGACATATTTACAAGGTGCCAATCTGTCAAATAAATGGAGACTAAATTGGCTCTGGAATAATAGCTTATAATTCTTTCTGCTGCTTTCTTTGACTGATGTGCTTTATTTTTACCTTTTTTTTTTTTCTTCACATACTTCAGCTGATTTGTGAGTCCAGGAAATGGTAGGTGCATCTTTAATCCAGTTCAAAGGGGCAAAGGACTAGCATTTACAGTCCACATATGATCAGCTTCGGTGCTAATTTAATTACAGAAATGACCTCTGTTAATCATTATAACATTTAATCATGTAGGTATTATTCCTACTTCCTACTTTAAAAATGTTTGAAGAAGCACCAGTGTCCATCAAATAGCTCATAATTACACAGTTCAAAGGGGAAGAATATTTGTATTTGATGACTTATTTCTTTGACTCATCATTCTATGTCATGACAGGTAGTTAATTGTTACTACTTAACTCCACTGCAGTTACTAGTCACACACCTCTCTTCCATAGTAAAACTCTATGAGGGAAAAGACTGTTTTATCTATTCATTGCTTACTCAGAAACTTAGTACAGTGGAAATCAGAAAACATTTATTTAATTCCAAAGCCCATAGAATAACATTAGTAAATTGACTTGGAGGTTGAGACTTAAGTTATAGAAAGGTCTCTCTCTACTTTTCGTTCAGTGATTCTTTCATCTGTACAATGGGTCTATTATCTGACCTACAGGACTATTGTAAGGAACATAAATAGGATGGAATAGAAAACAATGCAATGCAATAAGGAGAAAATATCAGAATATAACATAGATATAGATGATATCTATAGTTCTTTCTAAAACATCAGCACCTTCCAAACCCCACGTACATGCATATGCACGCACGCACATTGAAATGTAGTATTATCTGGGAATCGGATCAAAATTTTAGTACCGGTAGGGACTGCACTTGTTTGTTTGTTTGTCTGTTTTTGTTTTTTTGTTGTTGTTGTTTTGAGATAGTCTCGCTCTGTCTCCCAGGCTGGAGTGCAATGGCGCGATCTCAGCTCACTGCAACCTCTGCCTCCCGGGTTCAAGCGATTCTCCTGCCTCAGCCTCCCAAGTAGCTGGGATTACAGGCATGTGCCACCAAGCCTGGCTAATTTTTGTATTTTTAGTAGAGACAACGTTTCACCATGTTGGCCAGACTAGTCTCCAACTCCCAAACTCAGGTGATCCACCTGCCTTGGCCTACCAAGGTGCTGGAATTACAACTGTGAACCACCACACCTGTCCAAGACAGCATTTTTGCTATGTAGCATCTCATTGTATGAACTTAACATAATATGTTTAAATATTTCCTTGCTATGCAATTTTATGTATTATGCATTGTGCTACAATAAAGATACCTGTACATCAATCTTTGTTTAAAATGTGTTTCTACTGAATTATCTGGGTTGAATTCTGAGAAATAAAATTATAAATGTAGAGATAGGAGTTGAATTATATTGCCAATTTGGTGTTTAGTCGGTTTGTAATAATCTATTCTTTCACTAACAAAGAATGCACATGTTAAAATAAGATATTCTCCTAAAAATCAAAAGTTACCTTTAATAAAATAGTTAATTAGATAATTTAGCAAGATTGACTCTTTAAATATGGGTCAGTTATGTGTATTATATTGAGTGAACTTTTAAATTTTTAAAATGTTCTTATGACCTAATTTTCATAGTGATTTCCTGATACATTGATGATTGAGATACATAAAACATTCTTAGTGCCTAATATTTACCTCTAAAAACAATATTGCTTTTTAAATTGGCAAAATGTTTGGTGGCTGGCTGCCTGTGATACTTTGTAAGTTAACTATTTCTATGTTTATTTATTTATACTTGGATATTTATCAAGTTTTAATAACTTGCTGCAAACGAAAATGTTTAATAAATTGATCAATGTTTAAACTATGCGTTAGACATTAGCAATGTATGTGGCAATATATTACACACAACAACTCTCTATAATAAATAGGATAAGTATGGACTATGAGTGATGCCTTCACAGAGTAAAGTCCGGTAGAAAACATAGGCAAAGTGCAGCCAACTAAAGGATTTCGGAGGTGCCATTGAAGTGCCCTGAGTCTCACCTTTTAAGGAGTCCTGGCCTGAAGCTAGTGATGCAGGGGAGCAAAACATCAATGGGATTTATTAAAGAGAAAAGTAGCTGACTTCGCAGTTGGGAGGCTTAGTGCATGGGGGGCAAACTGCTGTTCACATAATCCTCAGGGCAAGAGAAGGACTAAGTGCCTGTTGTAAAGGCCAGTAGATTTGCGTCTGTCTAGGGATCCAGCATCCTTCCCAGAGTATGTCCCCTATGGGATTTTTAATGATGCACCATGGACTAAGCATTAGAGATCCAACTGGGTCTTTTGTGTCTTGTCCAATCAAACTACTGAGTGGAGAAAAGAAGCTCAAGGCTAATGTCAATTTCTTAAAGGCTCTAGAAAGATATGCACAAAATTCTTGCATTAGTGATACATGTAATAAAGAAAATAATATTAAGTCAGAGAGAGCAGTTTCCAGCAATTGCCCATCAGAGAAAAGGCTTTCTATATCTATAGGGAAAATGTAAAACAATCATTCAGTGAAAACTCGCACTATCTCTTTCCCCTTCCCCTTGCCTATGCTCAGACCTCACAGGGACCAGATAGAACAGTAAAGTTCCAGTAAATAAAGGAACAAAGAAGAAAAGACACTCTTCACCTCTCCCATCAACTGTGCGTGGTGAGGCTGTCAGGAACTCAGATGGGAATGGGAAGAACACTGACGTTTAAAACAAGTTTAGATTTTTTTTCTTACAAAAAGTTGGACATTTTAATTTGTAGAATGAGAGTGTTTTATGACAAAGTGAATTTAAGATAATGAATTACCTAGGAGTGAGGAAAAAGTCATCAAATCTGCCCATTTATTTTTTTAATAAAACCAAGAAGAAAAGACTTTCCTCTCTGCATGAATTTTAAGGAGAGAGTGGAACAAAAATAAAGTGTGTTTTTAGTTTTATTCCAATAATGCATGAAAGACATTGTTTATGCATGAAAATATAACCATGGTTAAGACAATTATGGGGAAATAGATGCATTAAGAGAATATTGAAGGGGCATCTATACGAAAGTAAGGATACAAGCAGCACTTAAACATGAAGGATTTGTACTAGGAGTAGCCATAAAAGCATGCAAGAAGATTATTGCAGGTAGAGCGGCAACCAGGTGTGAAGGCCTGTAATTGACAAAAGTAAGACAGAAAGTGTTTTCCTATATCTTTTTATATGGGTAGCGCGCTGTATTTAATGGTTTTTTTTTATATTGGCTTTTTTTGTGTTGTTTCAACTGAATTATAGAGGAAGAGAAATGGGAGTTGCTAGAATCCCACAGCCAGCTCTGATAGGGCGAGGGCTCAATATTACGTCTCCCACATTTTTCTTCTGCATAAATGTAGCCCTTTTCTGAGAGAATTATGATAGGTTCTTTCTAGGTTAACATTTTTGGTTTTTAAAAAGGGATTTAACCTTCTCCTACTAATATACTTAGTAAAAATATACCCAGGATTGATTAGAAATGGACGTGAGTGTCGTGAAGGAAGAAGTTGTTATACTCTTAGGTTCTTGGAAACAAGAGGCAAGGCACGCCATGCAGGGCCACACGTGGGGAAGCAGCAGGTGAGTCAGAAGGCAGAGGGGCGGGGGAGTATGGACCACAGTTTTTCTTTTTTGAAATGGAGTCTCGCTCTGTCACCCAGGCTGGAGTGCAGTGGTGCAATCTCGCCTCACTGAAACCTCTGTCTCCTGGGTTTAAGCCATTCTCCTGCCTCAGCCTCCTGAGTAGGTGGGATTACAGGCACATGCCACCACACCCGGCTAATTTTTGTATTTTTAGTAGAGATGGGATTTCATCATGTTGGTCAGGCTGGTCTTGAACTCCTGACCTCGTGATCTGCCCACCTTGACTTCCCAAAGTGCTGAGATTACAGGTGTGAGCCACCGCGCCAGGCCTGGACCACATTTTTACTGTTGTTTCTGTTGGAAGAAACACAGGAGTCAGAGTGAGCAGGCTTAGGATTGGCTAGCTGACAAGCACAGTAGGCCACAGAATAGGGACTATCCCCAGTTGTCCGGTGTCTGGCCCTGGGCTGATGAGGGCAGGGTGTGATGTGTGAGTGGTCAATAAAGGAGGCAGTTGAGGGGTGTGGGCTCCAGTTTGGTTTGTTTGTACATGAAAGGTGAACTCACAGGCCAGTTGTTTGCTCTTTCTCTGAATTAGCTAGCCCTGTGGGGGTGGGGGGAATCTCACCCGAGTCAGCAAGCCCCCAGATGCCAGAGCATCATGAATACAGAAAACGAGAAAACATAGTTAATACAGTAATGAATAATAATAGATTCAAAGTGAGAAAATAAGTGTCCTTCACTTGAATCTGCTTGAATTCCTCTTCCACAGATATTCCTCATTTAACATCATATCATGCCCAAATGAAGAACAATGTTTAAGAGGACATTGATTGGATTTGTATTAGAAAGTTTATTGTTCTTGACCCCATTTTAGGGTTGTCAGATAAAATGCAGCCTCAAAGTTAAATTTCGGATAATAAAATTCTTGGTATAAATATGTCTATAATATGCATAGAACATATACTAAAAATATGGAAAAATTGCTTACCTGATATTTACATTTAACTCCAAGCCTTTAATTTATTTTTTTGCAAAGTCTAGCTACCTAATTTTATTTTGAAATATTAAATGTAAGGTCTACTTTTCTGTTGTCAAAAATAAAATCAGATCCAGTTAGAAAATGTAAAAGTTTATTATCTTGTCATCAAGGAAGGTACACTGTGATCCAGGAGACATTAAACTGAAACAGTAATTATTATTATTCTGTTTTGCAAAGTCTAGCTTCCTAATTTTATTTCGAAATATTAAATGTAAGGTCTACTTTGTTGATGTCAAAAATAAAATCAGATCCACTTAGAAAATGTAAAATTGTATCATCTTTTCTTTAAGGAGGGTACATTGTGATCCAGGAGACGTTAAACTGAAAGTGGTGAGAGGCTCAGAAGCACAGTTACAGGATGGTTTATAAAGTAAAAATGAAGAAATCATTTAACCTTTACAATGATTAGTTATTACAATGACGGTTTCCTGATAGCAGGAGATTTGTTAAAGATGACTGCTTTATGCCATTTTTGGAAGGCAACTCAAGTTTTCTTTATGATTATTAGAGACTTTACAAGAAATAACCAAAGTTAAGTTTTGCTTATGTTCAGAAATTAAGCTGGCTTGTTCACGTTGTTGCTAACACAACGTTCTTGGCTTTCAATGCAATAGAAATTAACATGAAGTCTGGCACACTTTTCCTAGACAAGATTTTGAACACTTATGCCTGGAAAGGTTGGAGCTAAGGGAAACAGTGCAGGAGGAAGGGTTTCCTAGTTGGCTCCCCAAGGTGGGTCCTAGTGGTATCTAGAGGAGGGTACCATAAGTAAGTAATGAGCTCAGTAAGCATCCTTACATGTGGTGGGTAGAGCGCTGGTGCACAGGCCCAGTGAGAAATCATGCTAACACATGCATTGCATGGCATGATTAGAAAACAGTGGGGGAGATGTTAGTATTACAATGAGTTAAATGTTAGGGCCATCAACCTCCCGGTCTTGTGTGCATGATGGTAGGATCCCCTGCCTTGGGTAAGATTTGTAGCCAGTGTTGCGTGTCTTAGCGTTCTCAGATATTTTGCAAGGTCTCAGGGGGTTTCGGGCCAGTGCGGGTGGGCTGAGTCCTGTCTCCAGTCCATCTCAATGTGGCTTTCTCTGCTGTGAGAAGTCCCATGACTGGTCTCCATCTTATTATATTTAAAGCTGGTTACCTCACATTTCTGAAGAAACTCATCTCATCCTGAGCTATTGAACGGACATTGTTTGAATAAACCTTGGCATTATGCCTATTTCAGCTTTCATTGAAGGTGCAATCTTAAATGAGTTATGATTAGCACATCATCTTTTTCCCTCAAATATAATAAAAGGCATATATTTTCCTTAATAACTGTGTAACATTCACATTTTCTGTTTAATATCTGTATATCTGCAACATGCAATTCATCACACATTTCTAATTAACTTCTAATTTTGGATTAATTTCCTTTTTCTTTCTTTGGGCTTTCCTAATGAGACAATAAGTTACATTTGCAAAGGGCCCATATTAGCAATACTTGCTTGATGATAACATCTTGTGGGTAGTTATCATATAATTGTCTTTTTAAAATTATTTTCCCAGTTGTTAGGTTGGTTGCTGTTCATTGTACCCGCCAAATGTGTCATAGTCCCACCAAAGGAAGCAGATTTCCCTGTGGAACTTTTACGGAAGTTTTGGTTAAAAAGAAAATGAAAGAAGTTAACGTGTGTAGAAGCCAATGGAACTAATGGCTAAGCATTCTAGAAGTGACATATAATTGGAAGTGATAGGTCAGGGTTCAATTCTCTGTTGTACACTTACTAACTCTGAACTACCAGGTACGTAGTCATTACATTTTCCTAGCCTCAACTCTCTCTTATGTTTTAAAAGAAAAAATTAAAACCACACTTAGAATGATGTAAGATCAGAATAGACACTAAAATTGAAAAAAAAAGTTTTGTAAATGGTAAAAAGCTGCACTCATAAGTGATCTTTATGGTTTTTTTCCTGCAGTGTGATTAATGCCACTAAAATAAAAGCAGTGACAATGTCCACATTCTATTTCAAGTCTGTGTTGATTATGTCCCTATTATGTGCAAGTCTCTGCAGGGGAAAGTGTGTGAGGTAGACAATTTAAACAAATCAACCGAATTTCTTTCCCAAACTGACACTGTAGTAGAAAAAATACGCATTGCTTTTCTCAATAAGCATTTATCAAGGACTTACCTGGGATCAAGGGCAGTGTAGATTTGAAGGATAGAGTCATAATGGAATGTTTAATGGGATGTTTTCTGGGTCCCCTACCATTGCTTACAAAGACAAACTGAGGCAAGAAAAGACCTTAAGCAACATCACCTTCTGTAGCTATGGCTCTCCAGCTGAGCAACACATTAGAACCAAATAGGAAGTTTTTTGCTTTTGTTGTTGATTTGTTTTGTTTAATTTTTGATACCCAGTCTGCACAACAAAAATTTACATCCCAACATTTGGAGTGCTTTGTAATATTCTCCAGGTGATTCCAGCATGCAGGCAAAATTACTTCAGAATTGTTGTTCTAAAAAGCATGTGATTCGCTACAATTCACATCCTGCCTCCAGATCTTCGGAAGTGGTGTGTAATTTGGCTTCGGTTGGCCCCATTGACACTTCACCACACCCCCACAGTCCTCATCCTCAAGGCTGCTGTGGGGAAGAGCAGTTCTTTGCCCAGGTTGGGCTTCATGGCTTTTCCTAGAGCCCTAAAAGAGAGCTATTTTCAGAGACCAGTGTGTCCTCCTCTTCACCTCCACACCCGAGGAAGCAAAACCAGAAGAGGGAGGGGAGGAGAAGAAGAGGGGCTGGATATCCTGCCTGAACAGGAGGGAGGAGTGCGGGGGATGTGAGAGTGTACCCAGCATGACTAGCAACTGAAAATCAGCCCAGAGGCATGGACCAGAATGCAATGTGAAGGGGTAGGGATGAGAAATTCCACAGAACATGATTGAAGGTAGTGACTAAAAATGAAAGAAAATAATTCCATACTGAAATCTTGCCAAATTCTAACTCTTCAAAACCTTAGAGAGAGGAAAAAAAAGAAAGAAAAAAGATACAGTGTCTTCCCTAGGGAAATTCAGAGTCTGGATGGAGATCAGAGTCATATGAATAAATAAACAGTGCAAAGTTTAAAAGGAGCTGTGCTAGAAATCTCTAGGCTCTAAACAAATGTAAAAATGGATGCAGCACACTTTACAGGGGTTGGGGGCCAGAAAATACTTTGATGAGAAAGTGTCCCTTCTAACATGAGTGAGCTCTGAGCATAATAAAGAGAAACAGTCCTTTGAGAAAGAGACAAAGGGGATCATTGAGAAAAGGCTGGGATGTTTAATAAAATAGATGTAGGTCAATATGGCTGAAGGACAATTAGGACTGGTACCTAAAAAGGTCATTATCTAAATGGCATGAGAATAACAATGATTCAAGAATCCTCTAGGTTCTGGGATAGAACAGTAAAAGAAAATATATTAAAATGTTTGACCTCATGATCCATCATTATTTAATTTAAACTTTATAAGAAATCATTGAGATAGGGTATGAATAACATTTTTTATAGATGAGAAAACTGAGGCGTGGGAGAGTTTCATTAACTTGCCTGACATCAAACAGTTATTGTAGAATTGGGATTTGATCCTGTATATCTTTCTCTGACTTTCAAAACTATAGTTTATATTCTTCCATCTGTGGAAAATAATTTAAATTGAAGAAACTGTTCTTAAAGTAACAATCCTTAAATTATGCCTTACGGTGTGTGTGTCTGATTTCAGCTTTGTAGTGAAGTAGAGCGATGTCTGAACTTTATCTTCACCACTTGGTAGTAGTGGTGGATTGCTTGTGTTGTTTCAATGGCTGACTTTTTTATACACCTGTTATAAGCTGATAGTTTTCTTCATGACATGAGGCTTTGCCAGGTCACTTGGTTTGTCCAGTGGGAAGTTAACAAGTGGGATGTAAACAGGCTTGAAACATGAGTGAATTTCTGCTTTCATGCTTATACCATTGGGTTTGCTCTCTCTTGCTTCTCCACAATTGCCAGGCTTCAGGGGGGATTTGCAAGACAAGTTGTTGCAGATTAAAATGGCCTGAAGCTCTTTGCTGCTTTTCCCATCAAAAAGCGGAATGTGTTTCATCACCTCAAGAATATGGCTCGGCTTGTGACTTGCCGTTAACAACACAGAAGGAGTTGTGTGACTTCCAAGCTGCACCTCCATATACCTGTCAGCATTCATTCTCACTTTCTTGCAATGCAGTGACTACTATGTGAAGAAGGAAAAACTAGCCTCTCTGAGGTTGAGAGAGCAATTTGGGAGAAAAGAAGAATCACTGCAGCCAGCACCAACTGCCAGGCATGGGGGTGAGGCAATATTAGGCTATCTGGACTTCACTGAGCCACTGGGAAACCTCATATAAGATGGATGAAGCATAGCCCAAATTGCTGATCCACAAAATTGGATCACAAAAGGTGGATGTTGTAAGCCTCTAAGCTTGGGGATGATTTGTTACAGGGAGGAAAAGATAGCTGATGTACATGCGGAGGAAAGCCCAATTGTACTATCCAAAGCCACCCTAGAACAGTCAGTACCCAGCTAACCAGTCAGTTGACTATGAATATATAAGCAAGCCCAGTTGAGGTCAGTTGATCTTGGACATAATCAGTACAACAGGATTGAGAGAAACAACAGATAGATTTTTTTGGGGGGTGCTTTGTTACACAGTTGGTTCATAGACATAAAATCAGTACCATAGGAGACATAATCTTAGAACAAAACCCCAAATATGTGATGCTAGCTTTGGGATCAGGTAGCATGCAGAGGCTAGAAAACTAGCAATGACACTTAGCAATTTGTTAGTACAGGCTAGAGAAAGGGTTAGTAAATTATTAGCAGAGGTTAAAAAATGCTTAAACATTCTAGAAGAATAGAAAACTAGCCTCCAATAGCAATCCATGTTATGTAATTTAAAGCGTTTGTTAAAAATGTATGTAGTGATAGGTGGGAAATTAGAACAGTTTAGCAAATTCACTTTCAGATATTTAAAAACATTTTAAACATTTTCTAGCAGAATGTTAAAAGGTCAGAAAGTTGCTCAAAATGTTATAAGAGGTTACAAGAAAGAGATAAGTTAAAAGAAAACTGACACACTTAGAAATGGAATTTAGAGTGAGTGTATTTAGAATAGAAATTAAAACTGATTAACATCTCCATCCTCTCAAGCTGTTAAAAACAAAAGGGCACACACTCAGGATAAAAGTTAAACTAAGTTTCCGCAATAATTTGTTATTAAGATATCTAGGCCAGGCACGGTGGCTCATCCTAGCACTTTGGGAGGCCAAGGCGGGGCAGATCACCCAAGGTCAGGAGTTCAAGACCAGCCTGGCTAACATGGTGAAACCCCATGCCTACTAAAAATACAAAAAAAAATTCGCTGGGCATGGTGGTGCACGCCTGTAATCCCAGCTACTCGGTAGGCTGAGGCAGGAGAATCGCTTGAACGCAGGAGGCAGAGGTTGCATTGAGCCAAGATCATGCCATTCCACTCCAGTCTAGGCAAGAAGAGCAAAACTCTGCTTCAGAAAAAAAAGATATCTAAATGTGTTATGATAAAATCTACAGTCAACTCTATTATCTAGATAAAATAAATAAATAAATAAATAAATAAATAAATAAATAAATAAAAAGCAAACCCCCCAAAAAGCAAAAACAAAAACAAAAACATCTGAGGAATCTCATGGGCATTTTCCCACAACAGCCAAACTCCCAGAATAGAAACAATTAAGTCTATATAGAGAAATACACATTAGATGTGGTTTTTCTCAAATCAGATATTTTCCATTCAAGTTCATAGGAGGTTCACACAATTACAATTAAGAGAATTGTACAGGTGAAGGTGCCATATGGGTGAACCAAAAAGGACTGGAACTAGTTAATTTTTTAAGAGAAATTCTTCATCTCCAACTATCTACAAGGCAAAAGCAGGTTGAAAAATTTTATCGATGACATATTTTCCAATGCTTCCTTCAGAAGTGAATATGGAAGACAATGGAAAACGAAAGATCTTCCAGAGGGCAGATGTATGTGTCTTAAGCAACACACTGAAAAGCCACATAGAAAGCATAACCAATGTCCGGTCAAATAATTTTTCTATCTGTGAACTAGGGAACTTTATACTGGCCCAAGTGAAGTTTGGATTTTCTATTGAGCAACGTCTGGTGGTCCTCCATTCCTTCCTTTTTTTGAAAGTAAATGATAATTGTAATTATCTTGTGTCCATCTCACCAGTTTATCATGAGTGTATATGTAGAACGATGTAACAATTTTTTAGTTCCTGGGTTTCTGGAACAAGAAGAGTCACATCAGGTCTGATGTACATCACATGATTCTGGAAATAGAGACTAAATTCCAATGAGAAGTGTGGTTATAAGATTTGTAAGATCCTTTTTTAAGACCTCTGAATGTATTAAGGTGATTTCTAGTCAACATCTCACCCATAGTTTACTACTAGGAATCTTAAGGCCATTGACCAAATTAGACTCCGAGAGTTTTAAGAAAGGTAAATGTATTTTTTGCACGATAGAGGATTGTGAATAATTGGGACCAGAACATAGGTATTGGCCTATTAGTTCAGTTGATTTTCATAATTTAGGTAATATGAATGCTCTTTGCCCCATAACTTTGTATCTCGTCTCACTTTGATTTATCTTGTCTATGTGATTTCCTTTGACCAATCAGATGCTAGCAAATATGAGATGGCAAAAACTGGAAAGCTTGTATGCATCTCTGCTCATTCTCTTAAACAATTTAGTGTGCTTGCTATTGCTTCTGTGTAATCAATATGAAAATATGTATAGGCTAGTCAGAGAATCTGCTTGGGCTAGCCTGCTAGAGGAATATGAGACACACGGAGAGGACCTTAGCATTCCCAGGCCCGGACTCATGAACAAATTTAGCAGAGATCAGCAGAACATGCCCACATCAGTAAACTGCTCTGCGTACTCCTAGAAACAAGAGAACAATAAATCCATAAAATATTAAGCCACTATGTTGTAGGGTGGTTGGTTGCATAGCAAGAGTTAACACTTTCAGTGGTATATTAGCTATGAGAGTCTATGTGAATTTAGTTTTGTATTATCTATGCCAGCATGGGTAATTTCAGCACAAATCAAATTTTTTATCTTTTAATTGGTGTTAATAACATAATACCGCATTCAGGGTTATTTTTAAAAATTACGTAACTACCAAAAATAAAGAACATTTGACACATAAAAATATTTTTATTTTTTTTAGAAGGATTCTCACTCTGTCGCCCAGGCTGGGGTGCAGTGGCACAATCCCGGCTCACTGCAACCGCCACCTCCCAGGTTCAAGTGATTCTCCTGCCTCAGCCTCCTGAGTAGCTGGGATTACAGGCACCTGCCATCACGCCCGGCTAATTTTTGTATTTTTAGTAGAAATGGGGTTTCACTATGTTAGCCAGTCTGGTCTCAAACTCCTGACCTCAAGCGATCCACCCACCTCAGCCTCCCAAAGTGCTGGGATTACAGGCATGAGCCAACTCGCCCGGCCCTATGTTTAAGTCTTTAATCCATTTTGTGTTGATTTTTGTTTATAGTGTGAGCTAAGAGTCTCAATTATTCTTCTGCATGTGGAAATTCAGTTTTTACCTTATTTATTTAGCAAACTGTCATTTTTCTCATTGTGTCTTCTTGGCACCTTTGTCAAAAGTCAATTGACTATACGTTTGTGGGTTTATTTCTGGGGTCTCTATTCTGTATCATTGGTTAATGTGTCACTTTTTTCCCCAATACCATAGTTTGAAATCAGACAGTCTGATACCTCCAGCTTTGTTCTTTTTGCTCATGATTGCCTTAGTTATTCAGAGGTTTTTTTGTGTCTGTGATTCCATATGCATTTTGAAATTGTTTTTCTATTTCTATGAAAAATGACATTAGAATATTGATAGAGATTGAATTGAATCTGTAGATTGTTTTGGGTAGTAAGGACATTTAAACAGTATTAATTCTTTTAATGCCTGAACATGGAATATCTTTTCATTAATTTTCATCTTCTTTAATTTCTTTCATTAACATTTTATAGCTTACAGTGTACAGGTTTTTACCCCCTTAGTTCAATTTATTGCTAAGTATTTTGTTTACTTTTTTGTACTTATTATAAATGGGATTTTTATCTCTATTTCTTTTTAAGATAGTTTTTTTGCTAGTGTATAAATATGCTACTGATTTGTGTGTGCTGATTTTGTATCTTACAACTTTATTCATGCTTAGTTTTAACAGTTCTTTTGAAGGAATCTTAACAGGTTGTTGTATATAAAATAATAGTGTCAGCAAGCAGTGACAATTTCACTCTTCTTTTCCTTTTTGAAAGTCTTCTATTTATTTGTCTTGCCTAATTGCTCTGGTAGTGACATCTACAACTATCTTAAATCGAAGAGGCAAGAGTGGGTATCCTTGTCTTTTTCCTAATCTTAGAGGAAAGGCTTTCAATTTTTCACTGTTGTGTATAATGTTAGCTGTAGGGATTTCATAAATGACCTTTACTGTGTTGAGGTACATTCCTGCTATACCTAATTTGGTGAGAGGTAATATCATGGAAGGATGTTGAATTTTTCAAATGTTTTTTCTACATCTAATGGGATGATCACATGACTTCTGGCTTTCATTCTGTTAATGTGATGTATCAGATTTATTGATTTCTGTATATTGAAACATCTTTGCATTTTAGGGCTAAATCCTACTTGATCATGGTTGATTATATTTTTAATGTGGTCTGAAGTTCAGTTTGTTAGTATATTTTTGAGGATTTGTACATCCATGTTCATCAAGGATATTGGTCTGTAATTTTCTTTCTTTTGTAATGTTCTTTCTGGTTTTGATATCAGGGTAACAATGGACTCATAAGAAGAGCTTGAAAGTATTCCCACTTTGATTTATGGAAAAACCTGAAAAAGACTGGCGTTAGTTCCTCTTTAAATATTTGGTATAATTAGACCACAAGTCATCAGGTTGTGGGATTTTCCTTGAAGAGGGACTTATTATCACGATTCAATCCCCTCACTTACTATTGGTTTGTTCATATGTTCTATTTGCCCATAATTTAATCTTGGTAGGTTGTATTTGTATAGAAATCTATCAGTTTCTTATAGTTTGTCAAATTTGTTGGTGTATAAATATTTATAGTAGGTTATTATGATTGTTTGCATTTCTATGGTATCAGTTATAATGTCTCCTCTTTCATTTTCGATTGTTTTTCTTTTCGTCTTGTCTTTTTTTTTTTTTCAGGTAGTGATATAGTTTGCCTCTGTGTCTCCGCACAATTCTCTCCTTGAATTGTAATCCCCATAATCCCCAGATGTCAAGGGCAGGACCAGGTAGAGGTAACTGCGAAGTGGCTACATTGTCTGGGGTAAATACCCGGGGCTCATCGTCTGGTGCCAAAAATATTTAAGACATGGACACACACGAGGAGTTTAGGAGTGGAGATTTAATAGAGAGAAAGGGAAAGGAAAACAGCTCTCTCTCTAGTGAGAGAGCGGGGACTTCTGAGAAGAAAAGACTGGCTGGTGGCAGAGTATGTAGGATTTATTGGCAGGCTTGAGGAGGCGGTGTCTGATTTACCTAGGGATCACAGATTGGTTCGATCAGGTGTGATGTTTACATAGGGTGAAGGAAGGATGGTAGCTCCACCCTAATTTTATTATGCAAATGAACTTTCCCCTTGGCCAGTGCCATCTTGTCTGCTCCTTACTGTAGAAGTGACTGGCAGAGAAGGGAACGTGGGGCCACCATTTTGAACGTGATTGGCACAACTGCCAGCATCTATGTCTGCAGCTCAATTTTACAGGCTGCTAGAAAGGAAAATGATTTGGGGCTTTTCATTAAAAGGAAAACCTTACCTAGGGCTTTTGTACCCTCACTATCTGCCTAAGTAATTTTGTCTTAACTCCCGTATCACTTGGATCATGGGGGCAGTTTCCCCATGCTGTTCTAGTGACAGCGAATGAGTCTCACGAGATCTGATGGTTTTATAGGTGTCTGGCATTTTCCCTGCTTGCACTCATTCTCTCTCCTGCTGACCTGTGAAGAGATGCCTTCTGCCATAATTGTAAATTTCCTGAGGCCTTGCCAGCCATGCGGAACTGTGAGGCAATTAAACTTGTTTTCTTTATAAATTACCCAGTCTCAGGTATTTCTTCATAGCAGCATGAGAACGGACTAATACAGGTAGCTAAAGTTTGCCTATTTGGTTTATCTTTTCAAAACAACCCACTTATTGCTTTGTTGATCCTTTGTATTATTTTTCTTTTTTTTTATTATACTTTAAGTTTTAGGGTAAATGTGCACATTCTGCAGGTTAGTTACATATGTATACATGTGCCATGCTGGTGCGCTGCACCCACTAACTCGTCATCTAGCATTAGGTATATCTCCCAATGCTATCCCTCCCCCCTCCCCCCACCCCACCACAGTTCCCAGAGTGTGATATTCCCCTTCCTGTGTCCATGTGATCTCATTGTTCAATTCCCACCTATGAGTGAGAATATGCGGTGTTTGGTTTTTTGTTCTTGCGATAGTTTACTGAGAATGATGATTTCCAATTTCATCCATGTCCCTACAAAGGACATGAACTCATCATTTTTTATGGCTGCATAGTATTCCATGGTGTATATGTGCCACATTTTCTTAATCCAGTCTATCATTGTTGGACATTTGGGTTGGTTCCAAGTCTTTGCTATTGTGAATAATGCCGCAATAAACATACGTGTGCATGTGTCTTTATAGCAGCATGATTTATAGTCATTTGGGTATATACCCAGTAATGGGATGGCTGGGTCAAGTGGTATTTCTAGTACTAGATCCCTGAGGAATCGCCACACTGTCTTCCACAATGGTTGAACTAGTTTACAGTCCCACCAACAGTGTAAAAGTGTTCCTATTTCTCCACATCCTCTCCAGCACCTGTTGTTTCCTGACTTTTTAATGATTGCCATTCTAACTGGTGTGAGATGGTATCTCATAGTGGTTTTGATTTGCATTTCTCTAATGGCTAGTGATGATGAGCATTTTTTCATGTGTTTTTTGGCTGCATAAATGTCTTCTTTTGAGAAGTGTCTGTTCATGTCCTTCGCCCACTTTTTGATGGGGTTGTTTGTTTTTTTCTTGTAAATTTGTTTGAGTTCATTGTAGATTCTGGATATTAGCCCTTTGTCAGATGAGTAGGTTGCAAAAATTTTCTCCCATTTTGTAGGTTGCCTGTTCACTCTGCATCACACTACCTGACTTCAAACTATACTACAAGGCTACAGTAACCAAAACAGCATGGTACTGGTACCAAAACAGAGATATAGATCAATGGAACAGAACAGAGCCCTCAGAAATAATGCCGCATACTTACAACTATCTGATCTTTGACAAACCTGAGAAAAACAAGCAATGGGGAAAGGATTCCCTATTTAATAAATGGTGCTGGGAAAACTGGCTAGCCATATGTAGAAAGCTGAAACTGGATCCCTTCCTTACACCTTATACAAAAATCAATTCAAGATGGATTAAAGATTTAAACGTTAGACCTAAAACCATAAAAACCCTAGAAGAAAACCTAGGCATTACCATTCAGGACATAGGCATGGGCAAGGACTTCATGTCCAAAACACCAAAAGCAATGGCAACAAAAGACAAAATTGACAAATGGGATCTAATTAAACTAAAGAGCTTCTGCACAGCAAAAGCAACTACCATCAGAGTGAACAGGCAACTTTGTATTATTTTTCTAGTCTCCAATTCATTTATTTCTACTCTGATCATTATTATTTCTTTCCTTCTGCTAACTTTGGGCTTCTTTTTCTGTGTCCTTGTGGTATGATGTTCCACGTACCCTTGATGAATGTTTATTCCATTGTTTTGGATAAAATATTCTGTATATGTCTTTTAGGTCCATGTGATTTAGTGAATTGTTTGAGTCCAAAATTTCCTTATCAATTTTCTGTTTGAATGATCAATCAATTTTTGAAAGTAGGGTATTGAAATATCCTACCATTATTGTATTGCTGTTTCCCTTCTGATTATTTAATATTTGTTTTATATATTTAGGTGCTCAGGTGTTGGGTGCATATTTAGAATTGTTATATTCTCTTGATGAATTAATTCCTTTATCAATATATAATGTCATTTTTGCCTCTTTTTACTGTTTTTTACTTAAAGTCTATTTTGGCTGATATATTTATATCCACCATGCTGCCTTTTGGTTTCCATTTGCATGGAATATCTCTCTTTCTTCCTTCATTTTCAGTCTATATATATCTTTAAAGGTGAGGTGAGTGTCTTCTATTCAGCATAGAGCTGGATCTTTTTTTTTAAATTAAATTAATTCACCCACTTTGGGTCTTTATGTTGGAGAATTTAGTCCATTTACTATCAAGCTAATGATTGATACATAAGGACTTGCTACTGCCATCTTGTTAATTGTTTCCTGGCTGTTTGTAGATAATTGTTTCTTTTTCTCTCGCCATCTTTCTTTGTGATTTGATAGCTTTCTTTAGCAGGGTGCTTTGAATCTTTTCCATTTTTGTATTGTGCTTCTATTAAAGATTTTGGATTTGTGGTTACCATGAGGCTTACCTAAAATATCTTAAACTTATAACAGCCTATGTCAACCTCTCAAGAACTTACATGTAACTGCATACAACTCTAGACTTCTACTATCTCCACCCTACATTTTATATTAGAATTTACATCATTTTGTAGTGTGTATTCCTTGACAATTTAACTTAGCTATAGTTATTAATAGTTTTGTTTTTTACCTTCATACTTGGGACGAAATTGCCCTATGTACCATTTTTAAAACTCTAAAATATTCTAACTACGGCTGTGTTTTATTTTTACCATTGAGTTTTGTGTTTTTGTATGTTTTATGTTATTAACTAATAGCTCTTTGTTTTAGTTTAAATATCTCCCTTTAACAATTACTGTAGGCAGGTCTAATGGTGATCAAATCCCTTAGCTTTCATTTGTCTGAGAAAGTTTTTATTTCTCCCTCACTTATGAAATACAGATTTGTTGGGTAAAGTAGTCTTGTTTAGCAAGGGTTTTGTTTGTTGGGGGGGTGTGTATGTGTGTCTATGTGTGTGTATGTGGAGAGACATTTCCTTCAGCACTTTAAACATATTATCATACTCTTTCCTGGCCTGCAGGGATTCTACTGAGAAATCTGCTGATAGTAGAATTGGCACACTTTTCTATATGATGTATTTCTTATCTCTTGCAGCTCTCAATTTTTTTCTTTGTCTTTATTTTTTGATAATTTAATTATTATTTTAACTATAATTTATCATGGTTTACTCTTCTTTTAATTGAATTTGATTGAAGAACTCTGTGCTTCTTGTAACTGGATGCTGGCCTGTATCCTCAGATTAGGGCAAATTTCAGTCATAATTTCACTGAATATGCTTTCTGGCCCTTTTTTTCCTTCTTCCCTATCTAAACGCTTATTGTGCATAATTTGATCGCTTGATGTTGTCTCAGAATTCTAGCAGGCTTTCTTTCTTATTTTTTATTATTTTGTCTTTTTGCTTCTCTGACTGGATAATTTTATATGTTTATTCTTCCAGCTCACTGGTTCTTTTCTGTGGTTTATTAAGTCTGCTGTTGAAGCTTTCTATTATATATTTTTAGGTTAGTCATTGTGTTCTTCATCTCTAGGATTTTAATCTGATTATTAAATTTTTTCCATTTCTTTGTCAAACGTTTCACCTTTTTGTATATTGTTTTTAAATTTTTACTAAACTTTTAATCCATACATTTCTGTAGTTTATTGAACTTCTTTATAAGTATTAGTCTGAATTATTTGTCAGTCATTTTGCAGATCTCCTTTTCTTTGAGGCCTATTATGGAAATTTTATTAGTTTATTTTGGAAGTGTTATGATTCCCTGATTGTAATCCTTGTGCTTTTGCATTAATTGCTACACATTTGAGGAGATAGCTCCCTCTTCTGGCCTTGGCAGGTTTTTTTGTTTTGTTTTTGTTTTTGTTTTTGTTTTTCCACAAGGATAGACCTTCACTATGTAGTCTAACTTGTGATTCTGGATGGGCCCCAAAGTAAAAACATCAGGTAGGTGGAGCTTATGTTGAGTTCTCTAGTTTGCTGGACCTCTGCCTTTGCTGAGATGTTTGGTGTGGCTGCTGGCTGGGCTTCATTGCCCAGTGAGACAACTGACTGGGCTTTGCTGTTAGGCAGAGCTCCTGGCTGGGTACTGTGATAGCTTCAGCTTAGGCTGGTCACAAGATGTATTTTCTGGCTGGGCAATTCTGCTATTTGGGATCTGCTTGGGTGAGGGCTTCAGGCTGGGATCTGAGGATTGGCAGAGTTGTTGCTTGGGACAGGCTGAATTAGAGGCTATGTTCCTTATAAATGCATTATTGAGTATTAAAATCCACAAAGATTGGAATCTCCCTGTTTGGCCAAGTCTGTTGGGTGTGCTTTTTACCTGACTGGAACTGCTGATTGACTTCCCAGGTGAAGTCTGTCTAGTGCCTTCCCTTCTCCAAAATGGGGCCTGGAGAAGACTTGATGAGAGCACCCGGGCTGTGTGGGAAAAGTGGCTAACCGTTTGACCCTGAAAGACCTGTGAATTGTGCTTCATGCAGCATGGTTGGCTACTTTCTCTAGTGTAGTGTCTCTTGGTTGGAATGCAGAGCAACCACCAAGTTCTGCATGTTGGTTGCTGCGAGCCCCACCCCCATCCTTTGTGTCTATCTGAATTCTAGGTGGTCTAGCTCTGGCAGTGTTCCCAACATTTCTGATGGAATGCAATGGGAGTAAGCATCCTGCCAAGGGTCCCAGAATATTGAGAAAGCTGAATGAATGCCTCTAGCTCACTTTCTTCCCTATAGAAATTGTGGTCCAGGATAATGATCTCTGTGTTGCACTGTTCTTGCGTGGGGGTGTGGTGGCAAAGTGAAAGAGAAGCATTCTTACCATTTCATTACAGCATTTTATGGTTCTGCCATCCAAGGGAGTGTTTAAGCCTCCCCTTAAGTTCTGGAATACTCAGATGGTATTATTATTAGTATTATTAGTATTATTATTTGGATAGTTGGTAGTTGGATTTTTGTGGAGGGAAGCAAAACTTGGAGAAATCTTATCCTACCATCTTGCTGACATCATTCTTCGTCACTGCACTTTGAATAAATTCCATGAGGGTAAGATTCACAACTCTTGACTACATGATTTGTATTATTTTATTTTTATTTTTTATTGGGAGGAAAAAATAAATTAATTATTTGGAAGCATACAGAATCAGAGATAGTCTTGGTGCATTTAGATAGATATGTTTACTAATGGGTTAAGCATATAGAATGAATTTAGAAATTTGAAAGATATAACCATTTTGGTGTCAGTTGAAGCAGTGAGTGTAAATGAATCTCTAAGGATTATGTGGAGTCAGCAGCAGGTATTAAACAGAGACTTGAAAATCATCACCATTTAAGGTAAGCAATGAGAATAATACACACAAAAGTAAACTCTAATAAAATGGCTAGGGGGTGCAGGAAATAATTGTAGAACAGAGTAGCATAGTAGTCAGAGAGTAAAAGAATGAATTTAAAAAATAAGTTGAATGGCCACAATATAAGATGTCTCACAGAGACAGATGAGGTGACATTTTTGAAAAATGCAATGGAATTGACCAGAAAAATGGGGAGATTTTTGCTTGTTTCTTAATCTTGTTGAAAGCTATTTCATTATATACTGTGATAAAAGCCAGAATGCAGGCGACTAAAGAGAGAAAAGAAAGTGAAATATTGGAAATAGTCTGCAAAGCGTACTGCTTTTTGAGTTTTTTTTTTTTTTTTTTTTGAAGCTTCGAAATGAATGAAGAAAGAAAAGAGACATTAGGAGAAATCGGGGTGAATTTATATGTTGTTTTCATTGATTTCCCTGAGAATTAGCATTTAAGAGAGAAATTAAAATTATAAAAAGTGATGTTGGTTTGGCACAGATGGAATATTTAGGAAGATAAAGCCTCTCATCTTCGACCTAGTATAGGAGATATGAGGATGTGTAGAAATAGTAAACATTAGAGATTGATAGGGAAAACAACATAAAAAGTCGACCTATCCCACATATCAATGGTTGTTTTCTTAAGGCGAGTAAATATTCTCACTTAAGCAATATGGTAATAACAATTGGCTACTTGAAGACAGAAGACGGGGAAAGAGCCCATGAGGAATGACTAAAACTCCAAATGTTTAGCATGAGGGCTTATCTCAAGATAAAATTCAGACATTAGTATAAAAGCCATACAACTCATTTGGATTAGTTGCTTCTGCAGGAGTGGACCTGTAAGAAAAATGAATAGAAGAAAGGAGAGTGAGATGGCAGGAAGCATTTTTCAAATGTGCAGAAATTAAACGATTTCTTTACTTATTTTTGCTAAGAAACCTTTCTTCCCCCCTTGCGGGGGAGAAGAAGACTTTCCTGAATATAATGAAGAAATTAAAGAGACAAACAAAACCCCTATCTGGCAGTGTTGATTTCAGGATAAAACTCAATAGTGTATAAGAAATCAGCTGGAACTGTCTTTGGCATGTTTCACACACAGTGAATATTGGAGAGCTAATCTCTTTTCCTCACTCCCTTCCCATTTTCTCTGTTTCCTGTATCCTCTCTATCTCTTTTTTCCCTTTCTTCTCTCTGTCCTTCCTTCCTTCTCTCCACTTTCTTTTTCCTTTTCTTTATTTTTAATTAATTAATTTATTTATTTTTGAGACAGAGTTTCACTCTTGTTGTCCAGGCTGGAGTGCAATGGCGCGATCTCAGCTCACTGCAATCTCTGACTCCCAGGTTCAAGCAAATCTCCTGCCTCAGCCTCCCAAGTAGCTGGGATTACAGGCTCCTGCCACCACACCCAGCTAAGTTTTGTATTTTTAGCAGAGATGGGGTTTTGTCATGTTGGCCAGGCTGGTCTCGAACTCCTGACCTCAGGTGATCCTCCCACGTCAGCCTCCCAAAGTGCTGGGATTACAGGCGGGAGCCACCATGCTCGGCTTTTTTTTTTTTTTTCTCCACTTTCTTTCTTTCCTTTTGTTCTTCCTTCCTTTCTTCCTTCCTTGCTTCCCTCTTTCCTTTCTTTCAACTGGCTTTTTTCTATGTTGGATTTCCTTTTCATCTCTCTTCCTATATTTATATTAAAGAATATATTATTTCTTTATTTTTAAATATTTTGCTGATCTGTATCATAATTACACTGTAAAACATTGATTATGTTATCAATTTGACTGTGCAGCCTTCACCTCTCCTCACTCTATATCATTTGACTTTTTTCAGCTGACATTAAATGATCAAATAAATCATATTATCTGTGCATATAGAAATGATCTCTGAGGAAGTGATGCTTCACTTGAGCAATCAGAAACACAAGTTGAATTTTAAGTGGGCTTACATTTTTCGTGCTTTTCCATGCTTATTAATGTTTTAAGTACCAAGCTCCTTTTCCTAGGACGTTTTTGAATCCTTTATTTTATTCAAATATAACCATTTTCTAGACTTCAGCACCACAAATTGGGTTGAAAGTTTCAGAGACTAATCAGAAATGTCGTATCACTGTTGTGCACTAGAAAACAAAGATGGTTTTAAGCAAATTGCTAAGAGAAGTCATTAGAGGAGAGAATCTTGTATAGGATGAGATTTATGCTACCCACCATAGTGCAGTCTGAGTTTTTTCAATGAAGATAAATGAATAACTCCATCATCTCAATGTGTAGTCTCTTTAACAAACATGCTGTCTGTTCTATGATTTGTGATGGTTTTACACAGGAAAAACTAACTGAGATATATCATGGCTGTCAAATCCTGGTATTCCTGTGGACTTTCTGAACAGACGATTGTACCACTTTCATTATCTTTGTGTTACAGATAATGGATAATAAACCAGCTTACAGTACCCAAAGGAGAGCTTCTTGGACCCTGGAAAAGTCTTCAAATGCACCGCATACACATTAAACTTTTTTTGCCCTCTGAAGATGCCTTTGAATCAAATAAAAATTGCTTTACTTTCAAAATCAAGAATCAATTTTCCAGAGTTCCCTGGTTGAAAAGGATATTTTTATCTGTGGCCTCATCTGATTCTTGAGGAATTTAATTCTCCATTTTTCAAAGTTTGGATGGGAGTACTCTAGGATTCACTTGGGGGGCATTTTATAACCCAGATTGCTTCCCAATACCCTTCTTTATTTCTCATCTCAGACTCCATGGATTTAGCCTTCTACTCTTTCTGTCTCTAGTCAACATGCCCCGATCTGCCTTTTGGACTTTCATTAGTCTCAAATTGGCCTTCAAAGCAGGATGAGATATTTCTAACTGTCTTCTACCAGTCCTACACCACAAAGCAATAATTTATTTGATCAGTCACTCACTTTGGTTCTACACTGTTAATTCATACATGTATTAATAAGTTAAATAAATAAGCTTTTAACAATGTATATTCAATTTAAAACAATTTTTCTTGTTCCCTAGGGTTGCCATGTAAATAAAACAGAGTAGGCTTGTGAGTAAAATAACTCAGCTTTTGTATGTAGTCTTTGTGTTTGTCTTTTTGTATTATACATTTATTACCATTAAACAAGAAAGGAAAACTGCAATACTATAAAATATGTCAAACCTGAGAAGGCTATACAAACTTAAAACGTCATATAAAGTACTCTTAGGGGTTTTGGTTTTATAATTTCTACTTCTTTTCTTGGAAAGCTCCTGAAATCTCTGTTTTCTGTCTGTATTCCATTCTCTGTTACACATCAGTGTTCTTGACTGAGACCAGTAGTTCTCTCTTGACCTCCTATTACAGCCCTCTCTAGAATTCATACTGGATCTCTACTTAGAAAACTTCACCTTGTCAATTTTAGAAATAATGTAGAATTATTATTTGCTACGAGTGGGCCATACACACTTTTTATGTATGTATCATGTATATCAGTAAGGGGCTCTGCAAGGAAGTAGCGTATTTCTCTAAAAATCATTTGCTAACAATCCACCTACTTAATGAACATTTCGCCAATGACCAGTCCACATGTGACCAGCTTGTTCCAAATACAAAATCTACCAATATATCATAAAAATAAATTAAAAATTTGTAGCAATTGAATGGAGCAGATTTTACTATCTGAATTTTAAATCACTAAAGATTTCTGCAAATATTTAGTAGATTATTTTGTTGTCATTGAAATATTTTTCAAACGTTTAATTGGCAGAGGTTAAAGAGCCACAGAGTGATTTCCTTTTTAAGAGTGTACTGACGGCCAGGCACGGTGGCTCACGCCTGTAATCCCAGCACTTTGGTAGGCCGAGGCGGGCGGATCACGAGGTTAGGAGATCGAGACCATCCTGGCTAACACGGTGAAACCCTGTCTCTACTAAAAATACAAAAAATTAGCCGGGCGTCGTGGCGGGCACCTGTAGTCCCAACTACTCTGGAGGCTGAGGCAGGAGAATGGCGTGAACCCGGGAGGCGGAACTTGCAGTGAGCCGAGATCGCGCCATTGCACTCCAGCCTGGGCGACAGAGCCAGAATCCGTCTCAAAAAAAAAAAAAAAAAAAAGTGTACTGACATTGAGAAAATAATATTGCATGGGCAGCACTCAAAGCTCAGCATTTTAAATACAGTATTTCAGTTCATAGGAATTTCTTTTATCCTTTTTTAAAAGTCATTTCAAATTTTATAAATATTTTTTCAGTATTTTTTAGGCTAATTTATTAAGCTTAGATTTGGAAAGCTGTGATGTTGCTCCTATTTTTGCTTCATTTCTATGATTTTTAAAAAAAATCCTAGTAATTCCTATACTTTTTCATATTTATGATTAATGCCCACCTCCATACTCAATATCCATTATAGCAGTTTATTCTAGCCATCTTTCCTTCCTGCTGTATGGCATAGTTTTATTTCAGCATATTGAGTCTTTTTGTAAACTGCTGCCAAATTTATTTATCTGAATTATTCCCTCTCAGATACCAACATTTCAGGATCTTATTTCTGTTTGGATTATTTAGGTCAATTTCAATTTTCATGCATTTTATTTTTCTTTAAAATCAATTATTTTCATAATCTTTTAACAACTTCACAAAAGTCATATTAACCTGAATTTTTCAGTTTATCTTTGTCGTTTTTGTATTTCAAACTTTCTTTGGTGATGGGATTGTTTCAGCTTCTGTGAATACTCTCAAATTATGAAAATGTCATTTCTACTTATAGCTAATATTTAGGTGATTTTTACCTTTGACTCAGTCCCACACCGATTAACCCAGAATTCTTAGGTATTAACAATTGAATTATTAACTTTCTATGTTTTCTTTTCAGAATCCTTCCCACACATACCGTACTTATGGTGAAGGGATTTCAGATATAGGATGCTATTCTCAGACGGTAATTTTGGTTACTGATTAAGTGTACATTTCTAAATAGTAGACATTTTTTAAAGTAATAATAAAAGTGCAAACTTACCTATTGGCTTTCAAGAAATCATCTGTTGCTTAAACTTCTGGTATAAAGATGAGCTAAAAACGAATCACCAAACATCAATACAAACAAAACCAATAGAAAGTTACTAAAATCATCCTATTGGATGAGAATTTTGGTGAACTTTATAAATCTTTAATGTTTAATAAATCAATAAATTGATAAAATAAAAATTGGTGATTTGACACATTTATATTTCAGACAATTTGTGTGTGTGTATGTGTGTGTGTGTATGTTTGTGTGTATGTGTGAATTGAATCACAAACTATGCAAAATGGTGGTGCTGCTCATTCACTTGTGACCTCAAGTGAGTTTATCTACCTTGTTTCTTCCTTAATTTTTTTGTATCATTCTTCTTTTTAACCTTTTTATCCACTAGTGATCAAAATGAAGATAGGTTTCCTTCTTTACTAATACTCCCACGTATGTAGAGCTTACTTAAAATGCAACTGGGATGTATTTCATAATAAAAATGAGAAGCAAGATCATCAATCGCCAATTATCATAAAACTCAAAACTGAGAAGAGCTCCAATAAGTCACTTGTTCCAGCTTTCTAGCCTCAAACAGGGAATACATGCACACACATCCACACCACAGGTGACTCACTGCGGCATAAGGAAAATACATAACCTTTCCCAATACATGAGACCACAGAGCAAAGCTCACATTTATTTAAATATTCCCACAAGATAGTTGGAGGGGAATTAGTTTGTCTACCATAACAAACAGACAAGATTCATGGAAAAACAGAAGCTGAAGAGTACATTGTGTTAGGAAATTCTTAAGGATCTTTTCTGGATTTTGCTGTGGCTTTTAAGTGTTCTATAATTTTATTACAACAGATTTTTTTTAAATGTATCCGATTCACTGAGTGAAAAAGAAGTCTGCTAGTTATTGAAGTCACACATTCAAATTTCACTTCCTCTGGGCAGGTTAACAAATAGAATTGTTGAAGACATCATAAAGGTCAGATGAATGGAGGATGCAGGTCTCCCACTCTCCAGTTGTTGCAGAAGAGGTGTGCTTGGGCCATGGTGCTCTGCTGGACGTGCTGTGGGACCCCAACTCCCCACACCACACCAATGCTCCCTTCTTCCAAGCAAATGCCAAAGCTGACTTATCAGTGACGGCACATCCACACTTCTGGGGAGCTGGGTCGTCTGACTGTAGGAGTTGCCTGTGAATGCCTGCTGCCCAGAACCTGACGGTCTTGAGACCAGTGGGATTTTACACAGGGGGGAAGACACCATCCATGTGGGAGGATACTGATCCCCAGCACAGTGCCACTGGCTGAGTGAGTATATGTGTGTGGGGTGATTCAAGCTATCCAGAGTGAGCATAAGGATCATTGCTGGAAAGACCTACTTAAACTGTAGGACATTTGAGTTGTGAAAAGAGTGACACAAATGAAAAAAATTAACTGGAGTTTATTCATTCAATAGTATCTTCATGACAATGTTGAGTAGTTGCATTTCCTATGAAAGACCCCTGCTTTGATTTGGTGTTCTCCAATATTATTAAGGAAGAATATATACTCTCTGTGTGTGTGTGTGCGTGCATGCGTGTGTGTGTGTGTGTGTGTTCATTTCTTGATATACCTAGCAAGTCAGCAAGTCTGTTCCTGGTGTTTCCCACCAAATAATCGTAATTTACATGGTGTAGTTTTATCACTGTAAATGATAACTTATTCCAGGACTAAGTTATAAATTGAAAGTAAGGACAGAGCCTGTGTTTTAATGTCAATGGCTAGCACAGTGTCTGGAACACAGTAAGCTAGCAGTGATTATTTATTAAATAAATTCACATTAGTTTCTTCTCTACTGATATGGACTGGATGTTAGTGTTCCTCCAAAGTGTGTATGGTGATTACATTTGGAGATAGGGCCTCTAAGGAAAGAATTAAGGTTAAATGAGGGCATAGCAGTGGGATCCTGATCTCATGGGAACAGTGTCCTAACAAGAAGCAATCCCAGAGAGCTCGCTCTCTCTCTCTATCTTGCTCTTGCTCTCACTTTCTCCTTCTCTCTCTCTCTCTGTCTTTATGCACACCCATTGAGGAAAGACTACATGAGGACATAACAAGAAGATGGTCATCTACACGCCAGGGAGAGAATTCTTACCAGAAACCAGCTGTGATGAACTTTAGTCTGAGACTTTCCAGCCTCCAACACTCTCAGAAAATGCATTTCTGGTCCTTAAAACCCCTAGTCAGTGATATTTGTTGTGGTAGTCTGAGCAGACTAAGAAATCCACTCTTTTGCCCTTTGCTAACTTCTACAGTTTAATGTAAATGCCAGTTTAATTGTATCAACCAAAAATTTCCATGGCTATTTTTTTTAAACATGTGTTTTCCAGTCTTAATACATTAATACAATTCAGATTCTATTATGTGCTAATTAAATTTAGATGATTTATATGATGGTCTTCTGAACTACTTCTCAAATAAAAGTAGTACATCCTCCTTATTAGAGTTCTGCATCAATGATGTCTTTTTAATGCCAAATAAAATATATATTTATTCAATTACTGCTGTAGAAAAATTGTCAAGCTTTCTTCTAGTAATACAAAATTAGATACTAAAAGTCCCTTATTTAAGACCCATGAGTTACAGATAACAACCCATCTAGTGATAGAGGCCCATTGCTTTCAGAAATTTAATTAAAAATAAGTGGACATCATTGGTTCCAACTCCTACCTTCATATTTTTTTAATACAAGTCAATTAAATCACTAGGTCATATTGGGAATTATATCATTTTTAAAACAACATTAGACTTGTCATCTATAAGCTTCTGCCTGGACTCAGCTAACTAACTCTTCAAATGTCCAAAGCTTTGCATGATTTCCTAGTAAATTAGCCTGAAACAATCTGTAAGAGACAATAAGAGTATGATGTGATTCTTCTTGTGAAATCTGATTTGAAGCTACACTTAGGAGAGAAAGTAGAGAATGAGAAAATTATACAGATGTTTCAAAATCGTGTTGCAAATTTCTGTATGGATTAGTTGAAAGAACAATGGCCTTAAGATTGACGAATACATTAACTTTTCTGATTCTGCCACTAAATAAAAAAGCCTTTGCCCTTTTGCGGTCTCAATATTTGTTTCTATGGGTAAAGGGATAGTAATGGAGTAAGCTATGTGTTCCCAATATTTTCCTCATTAAGAATTATATACATTTCTATTTATTTCTATGTGTTAAAAATTAATGTTTTGAAACAATTATGTACCAATCAAACTACATTTACTAATAGCTTCTGTGGTCACATAATGTACCTTAATATACTTTTCTTTTTTTCTTATATTTATTTATTTATTTTTTACTTTAAGTTCTGGGATACATGTGCAGAATGTGCAGGTTTGTTACACAGGCATACATGTGCCATGGTAGTTTGCTGGACCTATCAACACATCATCTAGGTTTTAAGCCTTGCATGCATTAAGTATTTGTCCTAATGCTGTCCCCTCCCCTTGCTCCCCATCTCCAGACAGGACCTGTTGTGTGTTGTTCCCCTTCCTGTGCCCATGTGCTCTCATCATTCAGCTACCACTTGTGAGTGAGAACATGTGATGTTTTGTTTTCTGTTCCTGTATTAGTTTGCTGATAATGATGGCTTCCAGCTTCATCCATGTCCCTGTAAAGGACATGATCTCATTCTTTTTTATGGCTGCGTAGTATTGCATGGTGTACATGAGCCACATTTTCTTTATCCAGTCTGTCATTTGTGGGCATTTGGGTTGATTCCAAGTCTTTGCTATTGTAAATAGTGCCACAATAAACATACGTGTACATGTGTCTTTATAGTAGAATGATTTATAATCCTTTGGGTATATACCCAGTAATGGGATTGCTGGATCAAATGGTATTTCTGGTTCTAGATCCTTGAGGAATCACCACACTGTCTTCCACAATGGTTGAACTAATTTACACTCCACCAACAGTGTAAAAGCATTCGTATTTCTCCACAGCCTTGCCAACATCTATTGTTTCCTGACTTTTTAATAATCGCCATTCTGACTGATGTGAGATGGTATCTCATTGTGGTTTTGATTTGCATTTCTCTAATGACTAATGATGATGAGCTTTTTTTCATATGTTTGTTGGCCACATGAATGTCTTCTTTTGAGAAGTGTCTGTTCATATCTTTTGCCCATTTTTTGATAGAGTTGTTTGTTTTTTTCTTGTAAATTTGGTTAAGTTCTTTGTAGATTCTGGATATTCAACCTTTGTCAGATGGGTAGATTGCAAGAATTTTCTCCCATTCTGTAGGTTGTCTGCTCACTCTGATGCTAGTTTCTTTTGCTGTGCAGAAGCTCTTTAGTTTAATTAGATCCCGTTTGTCAATTTTGGCTTTTGTTGCCATTGCTTTTGGTGTTTTAGTCATGAAGTCTTTGTCCATACCTATATCCTGAATGGTATTGCCTAGGTTTTCTTCTAGGGTTTTTATCGTTTTGGGTTTTACATTTGAGTCTTTAATCTATCTTGAGTTAATTTTTGTATAAGTGGTAAGAGAGGGGTACAGTTTCTGTTTTCTGTATATGGCTAGCCAGTTTTCCCAGCACCATTTATTAAATAGGGAATCCTTTTCCTATTGCTTGTTTTTGTCAGGTTTGTCAAAGATCAGATGGTTGTAGATGTGTGGTGTTATTTCTGAGATCTCTGTTCTGTTCCATTGGTCTATATATCTGTTTTGGTACCAGTACTATGCTGTTTTGGTTACTGTAGCCTTGTCATATAGTTTGAGGTCAGATAGCGTGATGCCTCCAGCTTTGTTCTTTTTGCTTACGATTGTCTTGGCTATAGGGGTCTTTGTTGGTTCCATATGAAATTTAAGGTAGTGTTTTTCCAATTCTGCGAAGAAAGTCAATGGTAGCTTGATGGGAACAGTATTGAATTTATAAATTACTTTGAGCAGTACGGCCATTTTCATGATATTTATTCTTCCTATCCATGAGCATGGAATGTTTTTCCATTTGTTTGTGTCCTGTCTTACTTCCTTGAGCTGTGGTTTGTAGTTCTTCTTGAAGAGGTTCTTCTGTCCCTTATAAGTTGTATTCCTAGGTATTTAATTCTATTTGTAGCAAATGTGAATGGGAGTTCACTCATGATTTGGCTCTCTGTCTGTTATTGGTGAATAGGAATGGTTATGATTGTTGCACATTGATTTTGTATCCTGAGACTTTGCTGAAGTTGCTTATCAGCTTAAGGAGTTTTTGGGCTGAGATAATGGGGTTTTCTAAATATAGAATCATGTAATCTGTAAACAGACAATTTGACTTCCTCTCTTTCTATTTGAATACCCTTTATTTCTTCCTCTTGTTTAATGTATTTTTCTCTAGATGTTTATATACAAAATAGTTCATTATATAGTTTGACAACCACAGATTGAGAACCACCTAGATAGATCATCTGCAAAGACATATATGACTTGGTTACCATAGCTATGAAATAGAGAAATAAATATACTAGTATTTTTTGTAAAGGTATTTAAATAAAATTTGGAAAAATAAATATGAGGCAATAAAGTATATGCAATCATAGGATAGGATGATTCTAAAATCTCAAATGTTTCTGAATAATTTGGAAAAATTTTTACTCAGATGCTTACATATTTGTGACATCCATTTAAATTGATTGATCCATTTATTTTTCTATCCATTAATTAACTCATTTATACATGCATTAATTCACTCATGCACCAAGTAATCACTTTTTAGAGGGTCTTGTGCTATTATTATGAACACAGTTGGAGTAGTAAAGGAGACACAGGGCTGGGTGTGGTGGCTCATGCCTGTAATCCTAGCACTTTGGGAGGCTGAGGCAGGAGTATCACTTGAGCCCAGGAATTCAAGACGAACCTGGGCAACATAGGGAGGCCCCATTTCTACAAAAAAAAATTAGCCAGGCATGGTGGCGAACACCTGTGGTCTCAGCTACTCGGGAGGCTGAAGTAGGAGGATTGCTTGAGCCCAGGAGTTCAAGGCTGCAGTGATCCATGATTATACCACTGCACTCCAGCCTGGGCAACAGAGCAAGACCCTGTGTCAAAAAAAAGGCACAGGGTAACAATAATTAGACTAATGTAAGAACTGTGGGAAACCACATAAACAGAGTGTTTTATTGCTGTGGTAAATAGTTTTGTACAATCAGAAAAGGTGCTATGAAAGAGTAAAGAGAGAGCTCACAATGTCTGGGAAGGCACAGGAGGTTTTTGGGAAAAGGTTATAGCTAAGAGACTTTTCAGGAATTAGTAGGTTTCAGCCAGAAAAAAAAAGGGCTGATTACTCATTTCTTCACTTTGACAATGCTCGTTTGTGATTTTGGTTTTTACAGTTTGGACAATTCTAAAAAATATATCTAATGAATAAACTGACTCATTGTTTGAAATATCTCAATTAAGTCCTTAATTATAGGGAAGCTATAGCTTTTTTGAAAGAAGATAAAATAAGTTGGTTTACAATGGTATTTTATATATGTGTGTGTGTTAGTGTGTGTGTTTGTGTGTGTGTATTCCTCCAAATGTACCTTCTTCCACATCATTCCATGCCATTAATGGAAGTTCAATGATTCTCTGCCCTAGCATTCCATATTCCACATTCTTCATGCACTTGTACATTCAGCACGTATTTATTATGCCAACTGGGACTCTTCCATGAAGGTGGTATGAAAATAGAAAGTTACATAAATGAAAAACAATATTTGTGTCAAAATAATTGATATCCCAAACCTTAGCATCATGCAATGTACTCATGTAACAAACCTGCACATGTACCTTCTGAATCTAAAATAAAATTGAGTTTATATTAAAACATTATAATATGAATTGCAACCCTGTATTATTTATGTATTTAGTTTCCCTACATTCTGTCTTTTTTTCTTTTTTTTTCTTTATTTTTCTTTATTTATTTATTTATTTTGAGACAAAGTCTCACTCTGTCGCCCAGGCTGGAGTGCCATGGTGTGATCTCAGCTCACTGCAACCTCCACCTCCTGGGTTTAAGCAATTCTCATGCCTCAGCCTGCTGAGTAGCTGGGATTACAGGTGTATGCCACCACAACCAGATAATTTTTGTATTTTTAGTAGAGACAGCGTTTCACCATGTTGGTCAAGCTGGTCTTGAACTCCTGACCTCGTGATATGTCCTCCTCAGCCTCCCAAAGTGCTGGGATTACAGGAGTGAGCCACCGCACGCAGCCTCTCATTTGATTTTCAAAAACTATTAACTAACATTATTTAACATGTGAGAAGTTAAGTCCAATGCCACTCAATTTTAAATATCTAATTGAGAAGTGAACCCAAGAATTTTGTCCTCACACAACTGTTGACAGTTGAAATAACTGTCAATTGTATTGTCTGGGGAAGACTTCATGAATGAAATAAAAGTTCAAAGATTCAGACAGTTGTCCAGGGCTTTTTTCAATAGGTGAATCTGAGAACTTTCTGAAAGAGAAACAAACAATTGATGGAATATGAATAGATATTAGAAATGCATGTGTTATTTCCGGGGTGGGGGGGAGAGAATGAGTTACACTATTTTGACTTGAGCAGCTATACCATCAAGACAAGATACAAATAATCCAAAAAATATAGACTGCAAAAACCCTCAAATATCAGGTCAAGGACTACACACACACCCTTTATCCTGTAGGCAAAGAAAAGCCACAGAAAATATTTCCCTTCATCATTCTGCCTTAAGCAAGCCCTTGGGCAAGGACAGAGAAGTGAAACTTCTGACAAGGCTTCAGATTTTTAAACTGAGTCCATTTCTGCCCACTGCACTGAAGTTCTTTTGGCTCTTTCTTCTGTATTTCCATGAGCTAATGCTCTGAATTGCTAACTGGCTGCTGATGCAGAGGTCGGTGTGGAGAGGACTTTCCATGGTTATGGTTGCCATGGTGACTGTCTCCTTGATATTCACTTATTCCTCGCATCTGCTGATGTTTTGTTTATGGCCATTGGAGAGAAGCATCTCTGCATGAGGCTAGCAGGAAAAGAGGGGCTCTCTTGTCTCACTCAGAGAAAGCAATATTTACACAACCCAGAAGAAATCATTTTGCAATATCTTTTTCCCCTCTTTTTACAGAAGCTGAGCTATGTTGAACAGGATGAAAGATGTAAATAATTGGGAAGGAAAGTTGGAAATGTAAAGATAATGGAAAAATAAAAAAGATTAGCGATATCTATGTGAGAAATTCCTGATGAGTTGTGTGACTTTCTCTGTGGGATATCTGAAGTGAAATCTCTTTTATTCTTCAAAACTTTTTAAAAGCCACTATTTCTTAATATACAGTTTCTGATATGCAATACATTCAGAGCTGGGTTAGGGTGTGTGCATTGTATCTTGATCTTGATAGTGGTAAAATCTGAAATTAATTATTTCTTTCTTTATTTTTTTTTTTTACAGAGTCCTGCTCTGTTTCCCAGGCTGGAGTGCAGTGGCATGATCTCAGCTCACTGCAACCTCCACCTCCTGGGTTCAAGTGATTCTCCTGCCTCAACTTCCCTAGTAGCTAGGATTACAGATGTGCGCCCAATGCCTGGCTAATTTTTGTATTTTTAGTAGAGACGGGTTTTCACCATGTTGGTCATGCTGGTCTTGAATTCCTGAACTCATAATCCGCCCACCCCGGCCTCCCAAAATGCTGGGATTACAGGTGTGAGCCACTGCACCCTGCAGAAATTAATTACTTCTAATGATCAACCCTTACAACAAAAATACGTACAATAAAATAATTACTTTAGAAAGATAGAAAGATCATATCCCACCCAAGTCAAAGGCGCCAGTTTTGGGGTAATACAATAATGACAATGAAATTTCAGACAAAAACTTACGGACACTTACATTTTGGCATAGACAATAGGATCTGTGTAAAAAATGATCCATCTGGGATAAACTATATTATTAGCAGCTTTGTAAAGCCTTTAGATTTAAGAAGCTTCTGGAACCTACAAATGGAGAATTCATGTTTTCAGAAATTAATTTGTGGTATAGCACCAACTTTCCATCCCACTAGAAAAATGAAGAAGAAACCAGAATCAAGGAAGAAAGACAGTCATATGGCCTGAGCACAAGTTTTGGGACTGAGGAATGAGGTAGATGCCTTATTCTGAGAAAGACAAAGAGAACTTTATGTTTCCCAGGCACACTGTACTGACATACCAAGAATGTTAGTAGCCTCAAATTGTAGAGATGAGTGTGCACTCACAATTTGAGGCTACTCAATTGGGATGGTAGTTAGATAAGCAAAAGGTAGAACAATCACATGTTTAAGACTGGGTCAGGCTAGTTAGTATCGCAAAAGTAATGTTTTGGTTCTGGTCTGTTTTTCTAAAACATAAATCCAAAGCATCCTGGTAGAAGCAAGTGAATGCCTCATAATTGCTACCCATCTACTGTTAAAGAAAGTGCCCATAAGAAAGTATGTTCAAATGGTAGTTGTTAGTAAACAAACATTTCTTCTGAAATTAGATAATAAAACATTGTCATGATTAATTTGACTGGGTAAAATATTAGAATACATTACATAGGACAAGGATGTTGATAAGAAATGTCCAGATATTTTGAAAATAAACCCACTAATAGTGCATTGTACCACCAACCTTCAAAACCTTGGGATAAGATGAATTCAATACTATTTTCTGTACTTATTTTCCTATAGGTGATCAAATGCGTTCAGCACAGAGCTTGATCTCAAGGTTGAAGGGTTTTTTTTTCTTGCATTTCTAAATGCTGTACTTACTTTATTTTAAAACATGTACTTAAAAATACGTTTTCCTCACACTGGAAGTCATATAGCACCATCACAGGCAGGATCATTATTTTGGAAAGCTATTATTCTCAAAATAGAGATTCAGGAAACCTAACTAATGTGGTAGCTCCAGAATGGTTAAATCAATGAACTATAGATTATCTCCCCTATATGCAAGGACAAAGCTCGAGGAAGCCCTTTTCCAGTCATTCACTTAATATTTTCTCAATTCAATATTGTTTTTCACAGTTAGTTGTTCAACCATTATTATATTTCTAAGAACTGAGCATTCATACTAAAATTGTTAACTATGAGAAATAACTATAAGAACTACACTTTCCTTTTTTTCTTTTCTCACATGGAGTCTTGCTCTGTCACTCAGGCTGGAGTGCAATGGTGTGATCTTGGCTCACTGTAACCTCCACCTCCAGGTTCAAGTGATTCTCCTGCCTCAGCCTCCCAAGTAGCTGGGATTACAGGCACATGCCACCATACCTGGCTAATTTTTGCATTTTTAGTAGAGATCGGGTTTCCCAATGCTGGCCAGGCAGGTCTTGAACTCCTGACCTCAGGTGATCCTCCCTCCTTGACCTCCCAAACTGCTGGGATTATAGGCGAGAGCCACTGCACCCAGCCAGAACTACACTTTTCAATGCTAAAAACATTCACAAGTAAAATACAGTTGTAAATAATTATGCATCAAATAACACAACAATCACATTTACAAAGTAGAAACTATAGGATATGAAAAAAGACATAAGCACATCATTTTAATTTCAAAATAAAGTGTACAAAAATAAAGAGAATCTGAAAGTTGCATTCTTAGATGAATATGACATTAGTCCATTTTCACCCTGCTGATAAAGATATACCCAAGACTGGGAAGAAAAAGAGGTGTAATTTGACATACAGTCCCATGTGGCTGGGGAGACCTCAGAATTATGGTGGGAGATGAAAGGCACTTCTTACATGGTGACAGCAAGATAAAATAAGGAAGAAACAAGGTGGAAACCCCTGATAAACCCATCAGATCTCGTGAGACTTATTAATTATCATGAGAATAGCATGGGAAAGACTGGCCCTCATGATTCAATTACCTAACCCTGGGTCCCTTCCACAACATATGAGAATTCTGGGAGATATAATTCAAGTTGAGATTTAGGTGGGGACACAGCCAAACCATATCATTTTGACCCTGGCCCCTCCAAATCTCATGTCCTCATATTTCTAAACCAATCATACCTTCCCAACAGTCCCCCAGAGTCTTAATTCATTCCAGCATTAACCCAAAAGTTCACAGTCCAAGTCTCATCTGAAACAAGGCAAGTCCCTTCCACCTATTTGCCTGTAAGTTCAAAAGCAAGCTTGTTACTTCCTAGATACAATGGGAGGTACAGGTATTGGGTAAATACAGCAGTTCCAAATAGGAGAAATTGGACAAAACAAAGAGGTTACAGGGCCTATGCAAGTCCTAAATCAAGCTGGGCAGTCTAATTTTAAAGCCCCAAAATGATCTCCTTTGACTCCAGGTCTCACATCTGTGTCACGCTGATGCAAAAGGTGGGTTCCCGTGGTCTTGGGCAGCTCCGCCCCTGTGGCTTTGAAGGGCGTAGCCTCCCTCCCAGCTGCTTTCATCGGCTGGCATTGAGTGTCTCTGGCTTTTCCAGGTGCACGGTGCAAGCTGTTGGTGAATCTACTACTCTGGGGTCTGCAGGACTGTGGCCCTCTTCTCATAGCTCCACTAGACGGTGCCCCAATAGGGACTCTGTGTGGGACCTCTGACCTCACATTTCCCTTCCACACTGCCCTAGCTGAGGTACTCCATGAGGGCTCTGCCCCTGCACCAAACTTTTGTCTGGGCATCCAGGCATTACTATACATCTTCTGAAATCTAGGCGGAGGTTCCCAAACCTCAGTTCTCGACTTCTGTGCACATGCAGGCTCAACACCATATGGAAGCTGCCAAGTTTTGGGGCTTCTACCCTCTGAAGCCAGAGCCTGAGCTGTACATTGATCCTTTTCAGGCATGGCTGGAGAGGCTGGGACAGAGGGCAGCAAGTCCCTTGGCTGAACACAGCAGAAGGACCCTGGGCCCGGCCCACAAAACCATTTTTTCCTCCTGGGCCTCTGGGCCTGTGATGATAGGGGCTGCCATGAAGGTCTCTGACATGACCTGGAGACATTTTCCCCATGGTTTAGGGGATTAACATTAGGCTCCTTGCAACTTATGCAAATTTCTGTAGCCAGCTTGAATTTCTCCCCAGAAAATGGGTTTTTCTTTTTCTATCACATAGTCAGGCTGCAAATTTTCCAAACTTTTATGCTCCACTTCCCTTTTAAACTTAATGCCTTTAACAAAACCCAAGTCACCTCTTGAATGCTTTGCTTCTCAGAAATTTCTTCCATCAGATACCCTAAATCATCTTTCTCAATTTAAAAGTTCCACAAATCTCTAGGGGAGGGGCAAAATGCTGCCAGTCTTTCTGCTAAAACATAACAAGAGTCACCTTTACTCCAGTTCCCAACAAGTTCCTCATCTCCATCTGGGACCACCTCAGCCTGGACCTTATTGTCCATATCGCTATCAGCATTTTGGGCAAAGCCATTCAACAAGTCTCTAGGAAGTTCCCAACTTTCCCAGATTTTCCTGTATCCTTCTGAGCCCTCCAAACTGTTCCAACCTCTGCCTGTTACCCTGTTCCAAAGTTGCTTCCACAGTTTCGGGTATCTTTTCAGTAACACCTCACTCTACTGCTACAGATTTAATGTATTAGTCTGTTTTCATGCTGCTGATAAAGACATACCCAAGACTGGGAAGAAAAAAATGTTCAATTGGACTTATAGTTCCACATGGCAGGGGAAGCCTCAGAATCAGGGTGGGAGGTGAACGGCATTTCTTACATGGTGGCAGCAAGAGAAAATGAGGAAGAAGCAAAAGCAGAAACCCATCAGATCTTGTGAGACTTATTAACTATCATGAGAATCATGGGAAAGACTGGTCCCCATGATTCAATTAACTCCACCTGGGTCCCTCCCACAACACGTGGGAATTCTGAAAGAAATATAAAACATTAAACCCTGATAATAGAGAATATAACTATTCTCAATATGTGAGAGGAATATGTGTAATAATCATATATTAGGTCACAAAGAAAGCAACAGTAAGTTTTTAAGACAAGAAATATCAAAAATTTTATACATACTACAAAACTAAAAAGAGCTTCTAAGTAATTTTTAAATAATTTCCATAATTATCATTTGGTTGAAAAATATTTCCACAATACACTGATAATAAAAAGCTATTCTCAAAATCTATAAAACACTGATAAAATAGTGATCATAAGACAATTCATAGTCTTAAACATATTTATACTAATTAAAATGAAAGGATTACACTTAATAACTTATATCACCAACTCAGAATTCTAAAAAAAAAAAAAACAAAAAAAACCCAGCAATGTAACCCATAAAGAAACATACAAAGAAGAAAAGAATAGAGATAAAAGGGCAAGTCGATAAAGAAGTGAGTAAAAAAGTTTTTTTTTCATATCTGTTTTTTTTTTCAAATTAGTTAAGTACATGAACCAATAGTTAGCTTTATAAAAAATAAAGGGTAGGGGGCAATAAAGAAATAAGCAAATGAAAAATAATAAAAGAAATATTACCATTTAATCAGGTTAACTTAAAAATAGATTTCCTTGCAGACCTCATTGTAAATTAATTTGAAAATCTAGATGTCATGGATAATTTCCAAAGTACAGTTTACCAATATTAATTTAGTAAGCTGCATAAGGAGTTTAGGGACTATTACTGTTACACACACATACACACACACACAGCATACAACCCAGATTGTTTCAGAGAAAAAAAAACCCTACAAAATCTTGAATGAAAAAATAGGGTTTATGTTGTATAAATTGTTTCAAGTCCCAAGAAATGATGAAAGGTATTCAATTAATTTTTATGAACTAAGTATATCATTGATATTTAAATCTGGTAAAGACTGTAGAAAAAATGAAAAAACAAAACAATGTTACTTACGAATATCAACGAAAAATGCTAAATGAAATATTAGCGTACCTATTTAATACCAAATTATGGAAATAATACATTGGGATCAAGTGGGATTTATTCCAGGACTGGAATGTTGCTTCAATATTAGAAAATTGGTTAAAATTTATCACAACATTATCAGATTTTATGAGGAACATGAAGTTGAATATCTCTGTAGATTTTGACAAAGTCTGAGACAAAACTCCTCACTCCAAATTTTTAAAATAAAAGGAAATAAATAAAACATAACACTATTCTAAAATAACAATACATAATGATAGTTAGATATATCTATCTATCCGCGTCTATATGTATCACACCTCTAACTATATCTATACAGCTAGCTTCTATAACCAGCATCTTGCACAATAGTAAAACTAGGTGCATTTTCATTAATAGAAGGTACAATGCAAGGATACTCATTATCTATCTCCTCTACTATTTAACATTCTACCAGAGGTACTAATTAATGCAAGGAAATACAGTAGACCCCCTTAATCTGTGATTTCACTTTTTATGGTTTTACGTATATATATATGTGTGTGTATATATATATATATATATATATGGTTTTACATATATGTATGACATATATATATGGCCAAGCACAGTCCAGAAGTGTTTAATAGCAAATTTTGAAATAAATTATGTGTAAGTTTTTTTATTATGTGTCGTTCCATGTAGCGTGATGAAATCTCACACCTTGAGGCACCATCCTGCTCAGGACATTAAACATTCCTTTGTCCAGTGTATCCACACTGTATATACTACCCGCCAGGTGGCCTTCTTGGTTATCAGATTGACTGATACTGTGTCACACTGCTTATGTTCAAGTTACCCCTATTTTATTTAGCAATGGCCCCAAAGCACAAGAGTAGTGATTCTGGCAATTCGAATATGTCAAAGAGAAGTCATAGAGTGTTTTATTTAAGGGAAAAGGTGAAAGTTCTTGACTTAGGAAAGACAAAAAGGCATGTGCTGAGGTTGCTAAGGTCTATGATAGGAAGGAATCATCTATCTATGAAATTTTAAAAAGGAAAAAGAAATTTGTGCTAGGTTTCCTGTTGCACCTTGTACTTCAAAAGTTATGGCCACAGTGAATTGTAAGTGTTTAATAAGATGTAAAAGGAATTAAATTGTAGGTAGAAGACATGAATGGGAGCATGTTCTGACTAATGGAAATTAGCTTCAGTATACCTGTGGGTTTTGGAAATCCACTGGGGGTCTTGGAATGTATCACTAGCAGATAAGGGGAACTATTATGAGAGCAATCATTGAGAGGCATAATAATTGGGGGAGTAAATATAAAACTGTCTTTATTTATAGAAGTGATGATAATACTACCTGGAAAACCCTAAATAATTGCATTAGAAATCTATTGCCACATTAAAAAAACCCTGAAACATAATGTCTTACAAAAACAATATCAGTTATCTCACACTGTCTGTGAATCAAGATTTCAGGCAGAGTTTAATTGGGTCCTCTGGCTCAGGCTCTATTACAAAGCTGCAGTCATCTCAACAGTAAGTTGGAAAAGATGAACTTCCCAGCTCACTCACTTGATTGTTGGCAGGATCTGTTCCCCCTGAGCTTTGGACTGAGGTCCTCAGTTCCTCACTGGCCATTGGCCAGAGATCACCCATGGTTCTGCATATATGAGCCTCTCCAACATGGTAGCTTTCTTCATCAAAACATGCCAGCCAGGTAGACAGTATAGGGATGTAGAGATGTTACGGAATTACGTATCCTAATTACGGAAGGCACACTCTATGACTTTTATCAGAATCTATTAGTTGGAAGCCAGTCACTAAGTCTAGCTTATATTCAAGCAAAGGTGATTGCTAAAAGGCAAGAATTTCAGGAAGCAGGAATCATTGAGAATCATCTCTGACACCTTCCTATCACAAAAATATATAATAAAACTAATTCAAACAATTGAATTATTCAGTAAAGTATCATGATATAAAATTAGACATAAGTAAACCAGTAACATTGGTAGACAAAACGATAGTTAGAAAATGTGATGGTAAAAATGATCCTTTCCTTTAAAATAACAAAAAAGAATATAAAATGGTCACAAGGAAATGTAACAAAAAATGTTAAAAACTTATGTAAGAAAAACTTTAAAATACTTCCAAAACATACACTCGAGCTATCCTTTATCATTGAATAAAATTATTGAATATAACAATGATTTCAGTTCTTTCAGAGTTAACACATTTAATATAATCCTATTAAATTAAAATATAATAATTTAAATTTGCTGACCTGATACCTTGTACCCTAATAATTTTCTGGTGGAACAAAAATTGGCACAGTCTTTATGGAGCAAAATTTGGCAATATTTAGCAGGACTGTGTATACATTTACCTTCCAACTCATCAACTCCAGGAAATTATCCTGAAGTTACACAAACAAAGCTACATGTGCATAAGCTTATTCATTGCAGTCTCATTTAAAATTATGTCTATATATTTGTGACAGTCTAAATGCCCATAGAAGAATAGGCCAATATTCTATGACAGATGAGGATAATGGAATACTATTCAGTTGTAAAATGAATGAAGATAATCTCTGTGAATTGAGACGGAGTTTCTTCCAGTATGTAGGGAGGGAAAAAAGTGAAAAGGAATATTTATACTTCATTTTGAATGAGAAAAAAAGGGGAACTAAGAAGACCTACATGTATAAATTGATTTGTTCCTGTGTAAAAGGAACACAATCAGGATAAATTTAAAAAGGAGAGAAATTTTGAACAACATCTGATGAGAACTGAAAAATATATATTGACTTTTTTTTCCAAAGAGGTGTGAGTTAGCAATTGTGAAACTATTTTCATTATTTTCTATAAGTGAACAAAGTGAGTAAATAAGTGACAATGTCTTAGATATCAGAACCAAATTTCTCACATTTAGAGAAAAGAGTTACAAATATGAAAAAATTGAATGATTAGTGATGCTGTTAGAGGCATCAGTATAAACCCATGGCTTTTAATGTCAATGTCTATTATTATCAAGATAATCAAGATAGATAAGATTAAATAAATAGACAGGAAACACACCCTATCTAAACTTTTGTATGGCTGGGATTTGTGAAGATAAGATGTCACCTTAGTGATTAGCTTACATTACAGGATAAAAGGAAGGGAATTTTGAAAAAGTAACGAAGGCCCCTAAACAGTTGACTTGACTTACTGTAAAGGGAGAGTATCTTAGGTGTGGCTGATCTAGTCAAGTGAGCCCTTAAAAGAGGGTCTGGACTTTCCCCTAATGTCTCTGAAGCCATGCTGTGAGTGGGCCTCTAAGAAAGCCACAGAACAAGGAACTGTATGGGTTTAGTAGTTGAGAATAGCCCCAGACTGACAACCAGCAACAAATTAGGTACCTACGTCCTACAGCTACAAAGACCTGAATTCTCCCAAAAACGACAAGGGGTCGTTGAGAAAGGACCTAAAATACACAATTCATGAGTGGGATCATGATCATCCTGGATCATCATCATCAATAAAAAAAAGTTCTTTCTTTTTCTATTCCCTTGCTACACAGGACAAATGCATTGGAAGTACTTTGTAAATCATAATCTACTTTAAACAGTCAATATTTCATTATTAATCCATGTTTCTGGGACTAACTTCTTTACGCTTTAATATTATTATGGTCATCATTAAAGATTATTTGCTGCCACCTGGTTTTAAAGTTGAGGGAGGGGGAAGGCAGGGAAAGAGAGTGGAAAAATATAACATCTAAAGTCTTTTTTTTCCCATAGACTAGATCCTATTTTCATTTTATCTCCACTGTCTTCTACATAGTTTATGTCTTATGTTAACATACACAGTATCATCTAATATCTCCCCTCTTAAAATGTAAGTCAAATAAAACAGGGACTAAGGAGCAATATGACTAAAATGAACATGTTCATCATTTCTAGAGGGGGACCATAGAAAATAATACTGCCTTCTTCAAGACACGCCTTTATCTCCTCAGGCTCCTATTCATGTGAGGATGTCCCTCCTGAGTCCCGCAGAGAGGACTGTATATTATGTGTGTCTTTATATCCCAGCATGTAGAAGCATCTGATAGGTAGTGTACACACAGTTAGGTGAATGAACGGGCAATATATACATGACCACCTTGCTCTGGAGGATAGGACAGGGAACAAAGGGAGATGTTACTGAAGGCAGGGCCGTACTAAAGGTATAAGCAGTTAAAATTAGCTGCTACATTTTCAAGATTAAAAAAGAAATCACTACCTATTTTCTGACAGTGTTATTCTGTATTGGCAAATAATCATCTGGAAAAATATACATATATATGTGTGTGTGTATACACATATGTGTGTGTGTATGTGTTATATATACACAAATATATACATTAAAAATTATATATACATTACAAAATATATATACACACACATTACAAATATATACAAATATATATATACATTACAAAATATATATAAATATATATATACACACACAGGCATACAAACATACATACACACACACAAACACATATATAACATTTATATAATTACCTATGAGAGAGCTATTCTGAAAACTCCACATACTGAGAACATTATAGTCACAGACTCCATTCTAGAGGAGTTGGGTAAGCAGACATCAGGGTCATATGGAGAGGTATTGTGGCCAAGTACTATGGCAGGCATACACCCCACCCATGCATCTGAAACCTGGCCTGTCTTTCTAGAGGAGGCTCTATCACAGACTGAATAAGACTACGAACTCCAGAGTCAGACTGCCCTGGATCAAAGACTAATTTTGGCACTGAATTTCGATGTAACTTGGGAAAGTAATTTGCCCTCCATATTTCAGCTTGCATAGCTCTACAATGGAGATTTTAGTATGAAATACTAAAGACCATTATGAAAGTTATGAGAATCAAATAACAGTACTACCTAACGTTTATTGAATGCATACTAAATTCTAGTGTGTTCATTCTTTTTTTGCACATATTATCTCGTTTGGTCCTCACAACAACACTTACAGGCAAGTATTGTTATTATCCTTCCAAAAATAGACACGGAAGGACCCTTCCAAGCCCCAATAGTGGGCAAGTGGCACAGATGGGATGAAGACCCCAGCAGCCAGACTACAGTATTCATTACCTCAACTGCTTTTGAATTCTCTATCTCTGGGTGCATAAAACTGTAATGCAGTCAGTACTGGTAAAGTCAGTGTCAATTATGAATACTTCTATAAATTTTTCCTGTACTATTCATGATCGGTTCACATCTAGAAAATGATAAGTTTAGATCATAAGGCTACTGCTGATAATCCTACTACTCTGTGCTAATAATAATGTCTAAGATGATTTTCTCATTTGGCACCAGGCACTATGCTACATATTTTACTTATAATATGTTGTTTCATTGAATAGTATCTAGAGAAGCAAAATATCTCATTTATATAATAACAATAAAAACAATAACTAAACCAGCAATAATAAGACATAGCTGATACAGTCATCTAGTGTTATTTGTGTATCAGCTCATTTAGTCCTCACAAAGACCCAATAAATAGGCAGTTTTACTATCCATAGTTTACAAATAAAAAAATGGAGGTAAAGATTAAACGACTTATCCAGGATCACACATGTAGTAAATGGCAGACATGGGATTTGGACCTAGGTACTGCAGTTCAGAGTGCACCCTCTTAAGCATCTGGAATTGCCTTCTGTATGAAGAAGGTGAGCTCTGCGCAGGTTAATCAACTTGCCTAAGGATGTACCAAGTCAAGGTTTTGTTGGATCAGTTACGGGATGTGTTTAAAACTAGCACCTGCTACTTAGGAAAAGAGTGAAGTGGCTTCATTAACAACCTCAGTGGGACACATTGTCCTCAATTTAAAAATGCAGATAGGAGCAACACCCTTGTTGGTTCACTTTGTTGCCTATTCAGCAGAGACTCTGAGCACTGATGATGCTCCATACACCAGACTTGCTGCAGCAGATCCTGCAGTGAGCAAGAAAGATGCAGACCGTGTCCCATTCATCACACTGGTGTTTTAAAAATCATTGCAGGCTCAATGAAAGCCAAGAATGGCTACGCACTGGTGCTCTGGGAGACGTGACAGTTGACCTAGGATGACTGAGGGATCCAGGAAAAGCCAAAATAAATAAGGAATTTTCATAGGAGTACATCAAAATGAGATCTTCCTATGCAGATTAAATAAAAACATAGATGTTAAAACACTTTAGAAAAACAAGTGAGACTTCTCTCTAAAAGTAAAGAAGTGCAATTATCAAGAACAGCATTTTTTGGCTGAATACAGTGAGGAGAAAATAAAATGCAAATATTGGAACATTCATCCTACTGCCACTTTTAAATTAGTTAAATAATTACTCTAGAAAATAATCTGTTTCAATGGACTTATTTTATTATTGAAGTAATACGGTTGCTTAATGCAATTACTTCTACCAGGTCATATAACTCACTGTGATTTGTAATTCAATTGAGTATTACATTGTACTTTTACAGAGGCATATTTGTAGGTCTCCTTTTTCCCCTTTTCCCTGTCAGATATTTTACCTCCTAAGTCTTTCTTAATAGTTTTCTTGTTATTTGTTTTTTAGGCAAGGTAATAATATCAGATCTCTATCCATATATGCAGTTTATTTAAGGAGTCAAGGTTTTATATAGACAAAGTAAAAGCACTAGACCATCTCAATGTGAGGAAACAGGATCTGGATGGGGGAAAGGTAGATAGAGGGGAGGGCACTTCTTTGGAATGCTCCTCAGAAATTATGGACTCATTAGACATGAGATGAACAAACAATTGCAAAGAAGTGAGAATCTAGAATGGTTCTCAGAATTTGAAATTGAATATCTCAGAGTCAAATTACATTTTTCTTTTAGCTTCCAATTATCTCCCTTTAATAAAGTTCTATGGCCCTTTATCTTCACCTATTTGTAGAACATATAACTTCACACATATGCACACATGACCACATGCCATGTACATGTAGCTTATTTTGACTTTTAGACTGTGCACTTTTAGACTGTACATCAGGGAAGAATATCTATTTTCTTTTCTTGCCCTACTCTTCAAAACTCAGACCCAAGAGCGCTCCTTGAAGAAGAGACATGAAACTAATTTTAAACATTGTTCACTGTGCTCAATTTCTTTCATCCAGTATTTCATTTAATTGTCATGACAATTCTAATAAATAATCTTGTTTTGCAAAGGGATTAACTGAGAATAGCAATGGCTAGATACTCTCCTAAGGTCACATGGGTAATAGTGGTGTGTAGAGTAAGGACCTGAACTTAGAACTGTCTGAATTCAAATACCCTACTTGCTTCACTCCTGCAGGATGTTATCTATTATTTCACAGAATAACACGTGTGTTTAAAAATATGTGAATGAATAAATGATTGTATGGTACCCATAATTGGAAATTATTTTAAATTATTTTATGCTATGTTTGTAATGTACTTTGGGTCACATTTCGTGATGTTTTTAATATACCATGACCCTTACCCATTTTTAGAAAGTACAACGGTATTGTATTTTCTATTTCAGTCAGTATCATTTTTTGTTATGTTACCTCATCTTTCATAATTTCTTTTTTTTTTGAGATGGAGTTTTGCTCTCATCTTTCATAATTTCTTTCCTTTTTCTTTTTTTTTTTTTTGTGAGATGGAGTTTTGCTCTTGTTGTCCAGGCTGGAGTGCAGCGGCGCAACCACCTCCTCTCAGGTTCAAGTGATTCTCCTGCCACAGTCTCCCAAGTAGCTGGGATCACAGCATGTGCTGCCATACCCAGCTAATTTTTTATTTTCAGTAGAGATGGGGTTTCACCATGTTACCCAGGCTGGTCACAAACCCCTGACCTCACTTGATCCACCTGCCTCGGCCTTCCAAAGTGCTGGGATTACAGGCCCATAATTTCTAAATAAATATGCAAATGATCTTCTCCCACTTATTTCTCATCATTTTCTTAAAGGCTATATTGCCTACATGGTTAGACACCCAACAGGTGGAAAAAGTCACAATCAGTGCTTTAGAAATCTCATATATAGTAACAAAAATAGTGTAACATAAGTCACAATCTACTGAAGTGTACAAATCTCATTACATGTTTCTATGTAATGATCAATAAGTTTATTGTTTTAGAACTGAAAGTCGGTCCTATAAGAAATATGCCTCATGCGTAAGTGAACAAAAGACTATTTATGGAGCTGAAGTAAATGAACACAAATTAGATCCATGCTGAATCGGTTCACCTTTAAATGACAAAGCAAGACCGCACAGTCACTAAAACACACAGGGACAAGAAAATTACCTGAAAAGGTTGCAAAACAACAATCAATCAAATGGCATATGCCAAGAAATACATAGAAACTCTTTGAAAAATAAAAAAAAAGGGTAGTTCTCAAACTTTACCTAGCTTTCCAGAACCTTTTCCAGGTCATATTTGTTTATTTCATTCCAAAGCTAAAAACGTCAATGGTAAAGTAATTTTAAGGTCTGTGTTAGAGACTTACAGAGGTATTTGCAGGCTGTAAGTGTCTTGATGTAAGTAGGTGCCAGTAACCACAGAATTAACTCGAGTTAACTTGCATTTGAAGAGCTCATATAACTCACTGTGATTTCTAATTCAAATGAGTATTACATTGTACTCTACAGGGGTATATTTGTAGGTTTTCTTTTTACCCCCTTCCTCTGTCCTATCTTCTACCTCCCAAGTCTTTCTTAATAGTGTTCTTCTTATTTATTTTTTAGACAAGGTAATAATATCAGATCTCTGTCTATATATATGTGGAGTTGATTGAAGGACTCAAAGTTTTATACAGACCAAGTAAAGGCACTGGACCCCTGGAAGACACACTCTGATGCCAGCAGAACAGGCTTGCACTCATATCCAGAGTTTGAAGACCACTTCCATGGACCACTGCTGGCAGAAATGCCCCCAGAGTGGTCGACCAACTGTGCACCCATGCTCCTAGCCAGAGTAATAGCTTCATAGCCCCACCCCCAGCCAGCCAGACCCCAAGTTGGCTGATCCACCATGTGCATGCATGTGCCTCTGAACTGAAAAACAGCCTGGTGAGTCTAACCCTGATATAATCATACCGTACCATCATAATCTTCTTTAGTCTAGACCACTGAGATACTTGCAAACCTCACTGGCATGGATTACAGCTGAGGAAACTACACAAATGCTACACTATTGTGTCCACTTAGAACCAAAGCCAATGCATTCCACTGAATTGACACCCCAAGACATATCTATTTGAACGTATTTTCCTATTAAACTTATTTATAAAATTGAAAGTAGCAACTGTCCAAATAGATTCATAGAAATCAAAATATGGACACAACAAACATAAAAACGTGACATCTCCAAAAATACACAATTGTTTTTTTAGTAGCAGATGCTAATCATAAGGAAATATACAAAATGATAGAAAAAGAATTCAAAGTAATAATCTTAAGGCAACTCAAAGAGATATGAAATAATCCAAATAGACGAATCAACAATACCAGGAAAAATTTATTATTTGAATAAGGAATTTAATAAAGAAATATTATAAAAAATACAGAAATTCTACAGCTGAATATTTTAATGAATAAATAAAAAAACACAATCAACAGCTTCAACAAGAGATGAGACCAAGCAAAATAAATACTTTTGAACTCAAATACAGGTTTTTAAAAATAACATAAGCAGAGAATAAAATTAAAAAGAAAAGCGAAAAGAAAGGAAACAAGAAAGATAAAGAAAAGAGAAGAAAAGAAAGAAAGGAAAGAAAGAAAGAAAGAAAGAAAGAAAGAAAGAAAGAAAGAAAGAAAGAAAGAAAGAAAACAGGATTTATGGGATACCATTAAGTGAACAGATATTGACAGTATGGTCAACCCAGAAGGAGAATATAAGGAAAAAGGGAGGAAAATATATTTTATGAAATAGCTAAAAAACTTCCCAAGTCATCAGAGAAACATGGATATCTACATTCAGGAAGCTCAAAGAGTCTCAAGTAGAACCAATCCAAACAGGTCTTCTTCAAGGCATTTTAGAGACAAATTGTCAAAAGTCAAAGGCAAAGAAGGAATTCTTAGGAAAAAAAAAAAGCAAGAGAGAAGCATCAAGTTACATATAATGTAATCTCCATTAAATGAACAGTGGATTTCTCAGTTGAAATCTTGTAGCCAGGAGAAAATGGGATGATGTATTCAAAGTACTGAAAAAAAATTTTTAAAAAACTGCCAGCCAAAAATATTATACCCAGCTAAGCTATTCAGAAATGAAGGATCAATAAAATATTTCACAGAGAAAAAAAAAAAAAACTAAGAGAATTAATCACCACTAGACTAGCCTTAAGAGAAATATTTGAGAGACTCTTAGATCTGGAAGTGAAAAGACAATATCAACCATCATGAAAACATGTGAAATTATAAAATTTATTGGTATAGTCAATACAAATGGGAGAAATAAGAATCAAAACTATCACTACAGAAAACCAGCCAACTGCAAAACTAAACAATAAGAACAGAAATAAGGAACAATGAATATACAAAACAACCAGAAAATAATTAATAAAATGACATGAGTAAGTCTTCACCTATTTGTAACATATTTCAATGTAAATTAATTAAATTCTCTATTTATGCTATTGACTGGCTGAATGGAAAAAAATAACAAGACCCAATTCTATGTTGCCCACAAGAAACTCACCTTGCTTGTAAAAATGCACATAGATTGAATATGAAAGGAAGAAAAAGATATTCATACAAGTAAAAATCCATAACTTAGGAGAAGTAACTATACTTATATTAAACAAAACAGACTTCGAGTCAAAATGTATAAAAAAAGAGTAACATTGTGTAATAATGAAGGGGTCAATTCAGCAAGAGACTATAACAATTGTAAATAAATACGTACATTACACAAGAACACCCAGATATATGAAGCAAATATTATTAGATGTAAAGAAAAAGATAGAACCCAATAAAATAATAAATGAATCAAATGGACCTAACAATCATTTATAGAACATTTTACCCAATAGCTGCAGAGTACACATTCATCAGCAGATGGAACATCTCTAGGATTGACCATATATAAGGACACAAAAAACCGTCAAAACATTTGAAAAAATTGAACTCATATTAAGTATCTTATTTTGTATCATAGTGAAATAAAACTAGAAATCAATAACAAGATGAACATTCAAAATTATACAAATATGTATGGCATGGTGTAGATCTGTGTCTCCATCCAAATCTCATGTCAAGTTGTAATTCCCAATATTGGAAGTGGGGCTTAGTGGGAAGTCACTGAATCATGAGGGCAGAGTCTTCATGAATGGTTTAGCACCTTTCCCCTAGTGTTGTTCTCATGATAGAGTTCTCATGAGATCTATTTGTTTAAGAGTGTGTAGCACCTCCTGCCCTCACTCTGTTTCTCCAGCTTCAGCCATGTAAGATGTGCCTGCTTCCTCTTCACCTTCTTCCATGATTGCTGGTTTCCTGAGGCCTGCCCGAAGCAGATGCCAGCTTCATGCTGCTTTTTGTACAGTGTGTGGAACCATAAGTCAATTAAACCACTTTTCTTTACAAATTACCATGTTTCAACTATTTCTTTAGAGCAATGAGAGAATGAACTAATGCAGCATTGAAATTAAACAACATGCCCCTGAATGACCAATGGATGAAGGAAGAAATTAAAAAACAAATTTTAAAAAATCTTAAAACAAAAATAGAAATGCAGCATATCAAAACTTATGGGACACAGGCAAAGTAATAGGAAGAGACAAGTTTATGATGTTTCATGCCTATGTGAAAAAACTAGAAACATTTCTAATAACAAACTTAATGATGCATCACAAAGAACTATAAAAGCAAGAAAAGCCAAACCCAAAATGAGTAGAAAGACTAGAAATAAACTAAAATGAGACTAAAAAAATACAAAAAGTGAACAAAACAAAAGTTGTTTTCTTTAAAAGATAAAAAATGACAAACCATTAACTAGATTAATAAAAAAAGAAGACCCAAATAAATAAAATCAGAAATAATAAAGGCAACATCACAGTGGATACCACACAAGTACAAAGGATCAATAGAGACTAGTATGAACAACTATATGCCAAATAATTCAAAAACCTAGAGGAAACACATAAAACCTACCGAGATGGGACCAAGAAAAAAATAGAATACCTGAACAAACAAATAACAAATAATTAGGTTGAATCAGTAATAAAAATCTTCCAATAAAAACAGTCCAGGGCCAAATGGCTTTACTACTAAATTCTACTGAACCCCTAAAGAAGAATGAATACCAATTATTCTCAAACTATTTCAAAACATTGAAGTAAAGGGAAATCTTCCAAACTCATTCTGTGAGGCCAGCATAACCTTGATATCAAAACCAAAGACACAACAACAAAAAGAAAACTACAGGTCAACATCTCTGGTGAACAGAGTAAAAAATCCTCAAAAAAATACAAACGAACTGATTCCAACGATATATAAAAAAGATAACACATCATGATCAAGGTAGGTTTATCCCAAAAATTCAAGAATGGTTCAAAATATGCAAATCAATAAATACATTATATCAACAGAATGAAGGACAAAAAACTTATGATCATCTTAATAGATGCAAAAAATTAAAATTTGACACCACTTTCTGATTAAAACTTGCAATAAATTTGGAATATAAGGAAAGTAACTCAACATAATAAAGGTCATATTTGATAAACCTAAAGCTAATATCATACAGAATGGGGAAAGTCTGAAAGTTTTCCTTCTAAGAACTGGAATGTGGCAAGGGTGCCAACTCCCAAAACTCCTATTCAATTGGTCCTAGAATTCCTAGCCAAAGAAATTAGGCAAGAGAAAGAAATAAAGGGCATCCAAATTGGAAAGGAGGAAGTCAAATTGTCACTAGCTGGAGTCGACATAATCTTATATATGAGAAACCCTAAATACTGTACCAAAATCTTTAAAACTGATAAATAAATACAATAAATTTACAGCATACAAAATCAACATAAAAATCAGTAGTGGTTCTATACATGAACAGTAAATAGCTGAAAAGCAAATTAAAAAGAAATTCTGTTTATAATAGCTACAAAAATATAAATGCCTAGGAATAAGTGCAATAAAGTAGGTGAAAGGCATCTACAAGGAAAACCACAAAACGCTATCAAAAAGAAATTGAAAAGGACACAGACAAATTGGAAGACATCCCATGCTCATGGATCTGAAGAATTAATATAGTTAAAATAAAAATACCACTGAAAGAAATCTACAGGTTCAATGCAGTCCCTTTCTAAAGACCAATGATATTCTTCATAGAAATAGGAAACGAAAAACTTAGAACTTGTATGGAACCACAAAATCCTTGAATAACCAAAGCACTAATGAGCAAAAAGAACAAGCTCGAGGCATCACACTAACAGACTTTTAACTGTACTACAAAACTGTAGTAACCAAAACAGCATGGTACCAGTATAAAAACAGACACATAGACCAATGGAACACAATACAGAACACAGAAATTAATCCACTTCTCTATATAGCTAGACTGATTTTTTACAAAGGTGCCAAAACTGTTTATTGCAAAAAAATGACACCCTCTTTCAATAAATGGTACCATTAAAACTGGATATTCATATACAGATAAACAAACTAAACTGTACCTCTCACCTTATATAAAAATCAAACCAAAGTGGATCAAAGACCTAAAGGTAAGACCCAACACTATCAAACTACTAGAAGAAAACATAGAGGAAATGTTTTAGGACATCAGTCTGAAAGAAGATTTTATGAATGAGACCTCAAAAGCACAGGCAATGAAAGCAAAATTATGCAAATGGTATTATATTCAACTAAAAAGCGTCTGCCCAGCAAAGGAAACAACAGAGTGAAGCAACAAACTACTGAATTGAGAGAACATGTTTGCAAACTATTCATTTGGCAGGGGATTATTATCCAGAAGATATAAAGAATTCAAACATTTCAACAGCAAAATAAACAAACAATTTAAAAATGAATATGTTTTCTGAACAGACATTTGTCAAAAGACATTTGTCCAACAAAAGATGAATGAATAAAAATAACATGGTATACATGCACAATGCAACACTGTTCGGCCATAGAAAGAATGAAATCTTGTCATTCATGGCAACATGGATAGAACTGAAGGACATTTCATTAAGTGAAAGAAGCCAGGAGCAGACAGTTAAACAATGCATATTTTCAATCATATGTGTAAGCTAAAAAGCTGTTTACCTAATACAAGAAAAATGAGAAGAGGATAAGTTTGAGTTTGAGACGGAGGAAGAGGAGGATAGGGAGAGACTTGTTAAATGATACAAAATTACAGCTAGATAGAAGGGCTATGTTCTAGTGTTCTATACCACTGTAGTATGATATAGTTAACAATATATCATACAGTTTCAGATAGCTAGAAGGAGAATATTAAATGTTTCCAACACAAATAAATGATACATGATTAAGATGAAGGAAATATGCTAATTACCCTGATGTGATTACTATTAACATTATATGCATGGCAACATCACTATATACTCCATAACAATGGACAGTTATTATTTGTCAATTTTTAAAAAGATAAATAAAATTTATAAAAAAGAAGTTAGATTCTTAAATCAACTTTATAGAGCCTGAAGTTATGCAGAAGGTCATGAAAGGTAACATGAAGCTAACCTGAATACCAGTAATAACTAGGTCACCACCTAGAGAAAAACAAAAAGCTTTATACCTCATCCTCTGTGCAGAAGCATTCTGATAGAACATGTTATAAAACACTGAAAGAGACACTTGGAGGTTGGGGAGGTATTTGGGTAAAATCCAATGAGGCAAAACCATAGAGAACAATAAGATATTTGTTACAAATATATTGGAAAAGTATTAGGATCCAGGATGCATAAAGAATTTCTAAAATTCAAAAATAAAATGATAAGAAACCTGATTTTCAAAAAGAATTAATAAATTTAGTAGATCCCTTAACAAGAGAAAACAAGGGTGGCAATAAACATATGGAAAAGCAAGAGGCTCTATCTCATTAGAAAAGTTTCAACTGCAATGAGGCATAATTCGCCACCCACAGCTTGACAAGAATTTGTAAGTCCAAACGACTGTTAGGATATAGAGAAAAAAATACTTATATAGTGCTAATAGGAATGAAAATTGCTTCAAAAACTCTACAAAATATATTTGTATTATCTAGTCACATTGCAGAAGCAAATCCTATGAACAGCATTTCAACTACTGAGACACTTAGGGACATTCTTGGCCCTATATCCCAGAAAAAAAATGTTCAAGCATGTTCACATAAAACAAATCGTTGAAAAAATTCCAAGTATCCAACACAAGTATATGCTTAAATAAATTGTGGAATAGTCCTACAATGGAATGCTATATAAAAGAGAATTAATTAAACAACATACAACATCAACAACAGAATGTTGAGTGAAAATATTAACTTGCAGAATAAAACATATTTATGTTCCTTGTATATAGAATTCAAAAGCATCAACAAATATAAATTTTGCACATATTGTAAAATAATAAAAACACAGGAAATATAGAAATAAAACTAGCAGATCAGGCAAATAAACTTGAGAAAGGTCAGGCATGAGCCTCAGAGTTAAATATAATGTTCTATTTCTTAAATATTGAAGGTTGATATACTTAGACACTTTTGATCATTCTTTATGCATTATACATATATAAAACATTATTTTATATATAATAAATGTTTAATCAATAAAGATAAATAATACAGACAAAAAAAACTATAGCTGTGCTCACTAAATGCTTGTTTCCGACTACACTCTTCTACTTGATGACTGAATAGTGATTAGTTGGTGACAAATAATAGAACAATTAATATTTAGGAAGAAATTCTGAAAGAGAAAGAAAAAAATCAAGAGAGTGGGAGTGATATAGGGAGGGGTGATGAGGAAGGAAAGGAGAAAGAGAGTGATATAAAGAAGAAAAAATTTAAAGAGAGGAAGAAAATGAAAACTTGTCAGAGATGTATCATTAAATATCAAACATTGTGTTACAACTTTCTGCATGTTTTATTTAACCCTCATATGAAAACTGTAAGGAAGGTATATTCATTTATAATTTAAAGATGGGAAAAGTAACTTATATTAAATATCCAAATATTAGGGAGGGAGGAGAAAAGGGAGGGAGGGAAGAGAGGGAGCTTATACAGTTTGGCTCTGTGTCCCCACCCAAATCTCATCTGGAATTATAATGCCCATAATCCCCCCGTGTTGAGGGAGGAACCTGATGGGAGGTGATGAGATCATGGTGCTATTTCCCCCATGCTTTTCTTATGATAGTGAGCTGTCACAAGATCTGATGGTTTTATAAGTGTTTGGCAGTTCCTTCTTCACACACCCTCTTGCCTGCTGCCATGTAAGACATGCCTACTTTCCCTTCCATCATGTTTGTAAGTTTTCTAAGGCCTCTGCAGCCATGCAGAACTGTGAGTCAATTAAACCTGTTTTTTGAATAAATTACCCAATCTCAGGCAGTTCTTTATAGCAGTGTGAGAATGGACTAATACAGGAGGTAACGATAGAAAGAAATATGGAAGAGAAGTTTGAAGGGAAAAATGATAGGAAAAAAGGAGAAATGAAAACAGTAGGAAGGTGTTCACTAAAATAACGTTTCCCTAGCAATATTTATGAAACATTGAATTTTAAATAAATATTTTTTGAAATATGAAATATAACTTGCAGAACTATAGCCTTAAGTGTAAAATTTTTTCCGCGTACCTATGATTCAAACACACAGAAAATTTTCTTTTCTATGTTTTAAAAGTGTTAAGAGAAACAGTGGTTGACTATCCCGCTAAAGATCTACAAATGTCTAATTCATGGCCCCTTTGGATGATGGTTTCTGGCTCACTGAACTCTTAAGAGTAGTTTTCATACTTAACAAGCCCCCTTAGGAAGAAATTTTCAGTAAACTTGATCCACTTGACAGATAGCAGCACTGATGCTCAGGTATTTAGGTAAACTTCTTCATGCTAGCAGCTGAGCTAGACAAGAACCCATTATGTATTTTTCCATCTTTTCAAATTCTTCCTAAGTTCATCTTTAGCTGATTTTTTTTCTTTGGTATAAACTCTATATTCATCATATACTTACAAAGATTTGCTAACTTTCTACAGAATTGAAAAGAACAAATTAGTGGGTTTAAATATTTTATTGTATTTGCTAATTATGTTGATAATGTGTTGAACAGGAGCGGAAAATGCATGAGTATTCAAAAAGAAAAAAATGATAATTGTGAATCTATGTATGCAATTGGAGATTTGCTAAATTTCAAACTTCACCACTGGCGTTAGTGTCAGTAACAAGTTCAAATCAATTCAGCTCATGCACAACTGCTGAAAGAATGAGTCATACTGCTGGGTTTAATGGAGAGACAATGACGTGCACTTGGTGGTGCAATTTTGAAATCAAATGTGAAGACAGACATCGTTTGTCCTTTGCAGTTTGGCTGGAGTGTGGAGTCATAGGTCATCACAATTTGTTCTCTTTGCTCTGTTGGTTTAATCAGCATTTTACAACAGTGTCAACTAACTTATTTTAGTATTAATTCATAGTCTCTTTGAAACAAGCATTTGGATTTTTAAGATGGTGTGTTCTCTTTTATTCTTTCAATAAGCATATTCTGAGTACCTAACGTGTTTTATCAACTATAAATCCAACAGTGCAAACATGAGTAACATGGCCCTGCTCTGGAGACTACTGGGAACACAAACACAGGTAAGTGCATCAAACAGAGATAAGGACTGTTAAGAGGGGGTATGAAAGAAATTCCATGTGAGAACAGGGAGGTGTGCCCAATTATCACTGTGAGCATTAGGGACAGGTACATACTAAAGCCCTTGAAATGTGCTAGTAAGAATATAAAATACGTCTTTAAGACAGAGGTTTTCATTATCTCCATCTTCACATAGAAACTGAGCTGAGAGTTTAAATAATATAGTCCATGTCACAGATTGTTATGATCTGGTAGAGTTAGGTCATGAACAGCAGTCTAGTTATCATTTATGTGTCATCACTGCAAAACTGAGAGCACAAAGACTCTCTATCATGCTGCCCATATTTGCCCAAAAGCTGGGACAGTGTCCAATACATAGTAGATATTTTATAAATAGTGCTATAGATAGATGAATGCATATGCCAACAGCCTACCTAGTAAGCATTTTGCAAAGTGTTGATGGCCCTGTTGAAAACCTCTGTGATCACTCCTTGGACTTTCTTGCCAATAACCCAATGAGAGGCAGGGAAGCACAACTAACCATGTGTTTTTGTGCCCTCTTTGTTTCTATAGTACCTCTTCTGCTGCATGTTGATTATCTATCCAGGTAATATTATTTAATAAATTCCACAAGTATTTATTGATTGTCTACAATGTGCCAAAAACCATACTAGGAAATACAGGCACAGCATGGAACAAGAGAGGTTTAGTGTTTCTTTTCCTCTCAAAGTTTATATTGTGATGGGCATTATTTACATTTTCTATTTCAAAATAAATTCTTATGTTTTTGTTAAAATAAGTAGACATAACTTTTACAGATTAAAAAGATTTTGGTAAAAACAAAATTCTACTTTACATTTTTAACTATTTTTATTTGTGCCTTCTACATAACAGAATGGGATCTCTTCTTAGTTTCAACACAAACATTGAGGTAGAGACATATAGTTATTGGTATTGTGTATGCTCACTTAGAACTTATCAACTACTACACACTTCGCTGATACTTTACCATCCCTCCTCTACCCCACCTCTAAACACAACAGATTCATGTTTAGAAATGCCTGCAATTCATTTTTTGTTACATTTTAGATCAAAAGATATGAGTGGACATTTTTTGGATTAATGGCTGCTTTAATAAACATATGGTAAAAATAGCAAGCAGAATTTTTTTTAAACAAACATTGCACTTAATCACATTAGCCTGAAGTGGAAATGGATCTGAAAAAGAATATTTAGCACAGTGATAGCAACAATAAAAACTACCAGGTCTCACAGGTGTGTTAAGTAATCTTTACGTGAAACACAATCAAGAAGACATTCTTCAAAATAAAAAGATTCAGAGATGCGAAGGAACTTATCCATAATTGTTACACAGCCAGTAAATGGCAGCTCTGTTTTTATTCATTCAGTTTTCATTCTGTCATTTTTTTATTTCAGTGAGTAGCAATCATGCCTTTATTTTAAGTATCTGACACTGTGTTAGGAGCTGGGTTTGCTGTGAGAAACAAGACAATCAGGTATTCTTCCCTCATGAGGTCTACTGTCAACTGAGGAGACAGTCAATAAATAAATATAATAAGTACAAATCTTGATATGTGATTAGTGAGACAAATTGGGTGACTGGAGAAAGGAGAATGAAGGAGACCTGCCTTAGATTGGTGCTGAAGAATTCTCTGAAGAAGTGGCATTGAAGGAGAGCAGGGGAGAGTTAGAAGGAACCAAGCCATGAATAAATTTTGGAAAGAAAATAATGCATCAGGTCTAAAGTTGAGAACTGCTGGTGTTCCTGACACGTTGTGACTGAGGGGAGCATTTCAGTGGATACATTTGGAAATGACAAGAGAGAAGGAATCATGCTGGGCTTCATACACGACAGCAACAATTTTGTTTTTTATTTGAAGAGTAATGGAAAGCTATTAAGAGATTTTTAGTTGAGGGAGAAGATAAAATGTTTCATTTGAACAAATGTCTGATGATTTCCAAGCCCACACCATGTGCAATAGCCCAAATGTTCTATGGATGTGCAATGTGTGAAAGGACTTTGGAAAACAGGAGAAACTCGGCAACTGCAAGGCGGTAATGATAATAAATGTCTTCACCTCCTGAGTGGGGAATATTCAGCAAGTTTTCAAAGGACGTCTTAGTTTGTATGCCTTTGGGTTTCCATTTTGTTTTGATTTTGCATGGCAAAACAACATACTCCCCTTGCACACCTACAATGTAAAACACATAGGCTGGCCCTTTAGACACAAATGGCAATGATATACCATTTGCTGAAAGAAGTTGGTGATATATTGCGTGAGAAAGATGAATTAAGAAAGCACCTCAGTAAAATTGATGCTTGCATCAGAAACAATCCGTACCCTTAAGGTGAGGGAGCCCAAAGAACTGCAGAGGAGGAAGCCCAACCAGCCTTCAGATGGATTCCTTCTGATTTTTTCAGTGTGTTTATGCTTTGCTCTTTTGGCTTGTTTTACACTCTCTCATGCTATAGTCCACTTCTGGACAAAGGTTCTGCCTCTTGAATACGCTCTTAAATTCTTTGCCTTTCCAAATTTAGCTTGATTTTCCTACAGATATTTTAGTGAATCTCCACAGAATGTACAAGTGATATAAAGACTTTAGTGAGAGTGAAGTGCCCTCATTTATTTAGAGATAGGTTCTAGCTCTGTCACCCAGTCTAGAGTGCAGTATCATGATCACAGCTCATCTCAGCCTCCACCTCTAGAGCTCAAGCAATCCTCCTATCTCAGACTCCAGAGTGGCTGGGACTACAGGCATGCACCACCACACCTGGCTGTTTTTATTTATTTATTTATTTATTTTAAAAATTTTGTTACAGATGGGGTCTCCCTAGGTTGCCCAGGCTGATCTTGAACTCCTGGGCTCAAGCTATCTTCCTGCTTTGACCTCCCAAAGTACTAAGATTACAGGCATGAGCCACTTCACCAGGCCTATTTATGTATTTTTTTTTGAATAAATGTTTTCTGCACTTAAAACTTGGAAAATTTCAAATAAACACAAAATAAGAAAACAGTACAATGAATCCCATGTTCCTGCCACACAGTCTCAAAATCAACATTTTTCCAATCTTGTCTCTATCCCCTTCCCACTTTCCTGTCCCCTGGAGTATTTTTTTCCCATTTCCTGGAGTATTTCAAATTAAATGTTAGACATCATAACGTGTCTGGAATTGGTGGGTTCTTGGTCTCACTGACTCCAAGAATGAAGCAGCGGACCCTCGCAGTTGAGCGTTACAGCTCTTAAGGCGGCACGTCTGGAGTTGTTCGTTCCTCCCGGTGGGTTCGTGGTCTCGCTGGCTTCAGGAGTGAAGCTGCAGACCTTCGTGGTGAGTGTTACAGCTCATAAAGGCAGTGTGGACCCAAAGAGTGAGCAGCAGCAAGTTTCATTGCAAAGAACCAAAGAACAAAGCTTCCACACTGTGAAAGGGGACCCGATGGTTGCCACTGCCGGCTCTGGCAGCCTGCTTTTATTCTCTTATCTGGCCCCACCCACATCCTGCTGATTGGTCCATTTTACAGAGAGACGAGCGGTCTGACAGGGCGCTGATTGGTGCGTTTACAATCCCTGAGCTAGACACAAAGGTTCTCCACCTCCCCACTAGATTAGCTAGATACAGAGTGTGGACACAAAGGTTCCCCAAGTCCCGATTAGAGTAGCTAGATACACAGTGTCTATTGGTGCATTCACAAACCCTGAGCTAGACACAGGGTGCTGATGGGTGTGTTTACAAACGAGCTAGATACAGAGTGCCGACTGGTGTATTTACAATCCCTTAGCTAGACATAAACGTTCTCCAAGTCGCCACCAGAGTCAAGAGCCCAGCTGGCTTCACCCAGTGGATCCCGCACCGGTCAGCAGGTGGAGCTGCCTGCCAGTCCTGCGCAGTGCGCCCGCACTCAGCCCTTGAGTGGTCGATGGGACTGGGCGCCCTGGAGCAGGGGGCGGGGCTTGTCGGGGAGACTCGGGCCGTACAGGAACCCAAGGAGAGGCGGAGGCTCAGGCATGGCGGGCTGCAGGTCCCCAGCCCTGCCCCGCAGGGAGGCAGCTAAGGCCAGGCGAGAAATCGAGCGCAGCGCCGGTGGGCCAGCACTGCTGGGGGACCCAGTACACCCTCCGCAGCCGCTGGCCCGGGTGCTAAGTCCCTCATTGCCCCGGCCGGCCGGCCGCTCCGAGTGCGGGGCCCGCCAAGCCCACGCCCACCCGAACTCCAGCTGACCCGCAAGCGCCGCGCGCAGCCCCGGTTCCCGCTTACGCCTCTCCCTCCACACCTCCCTGCAAGCTGAGGGAGTCAGCTCCGGCCTTGGCCAGCCCAGAAAGGGGCTCCCACAGTGCAGCGGCGGGCTGAAGGGCTCCTCAAGCGCGGCCAGAGTGGGCGCAAAGGCCGAGGAGGCGCCGAGAGCGAGCGAAGGCTGTGAGGGCTGCCAGCAACGCTGTCACTTCTCAATAATATTTCACCTGTGAATACTACAGTATGTATCGCAATCAACTAGATTTTTTTTCTGTTTTTAGTCACTTTCTAATTTCAAGGTATTGCTAAAAGTCCTGGTGATAAAGGTTGAAAATGAAGGAAGCTTACATCAGCCCACAGTTGGTGTACTCAAAATCACTTCTGACCCATTGTCTTCAGGCCAAGTCCTCGCTTTCGTTAAGTGAAGTGAGATTTTCCCTAGGAGGTTGATCTCAGTGTCTCATATAAAACCTGTGTTGGACTGACCCTATTTTTCTATATTTTCCAGTCTTCATTGAATCTTTGAAGAAATCTACCTCATATTTTTATGTGTCATATGGGTTTAATGGAATGAAATAGCAATTAGAGCTACTGTGATCAATACTGGGGACGTGGTAGACTCACGAGTTCTTAAAGTGGCAGGGGCGAATCCAATCTTGTTATCCATTGATGTCTACTAAATATTTACGTTTAATAAATATCTCACTTGAACCTGTGGGGTGAAGCTGAGGGGCTATTCTAGGGAATCATTTGAAAGAATCAGTGAAGACTCCTGCCTGCCCAGTGGTTCTGACCCATGGCAAGCAGTGACAATCTGATGTGGCATAAATACCAGATGGTGACAAATAACACTGACATTTTGTCAGAAGCAAAGACATGACTCAGAACCAAAAACTTTGCCTAGATGAGTGTCAGTGTTTGGTGACAAATAGCTCAAGTCTGACAGCATGCTTCACTGCATAGACTTTCATCCATCACGGAGAGTTTTTTTTTAAATCTCAGAACACAAAACACCCAACTCCCAATATTGGGTGACATGAGAAGGAAGGTAAGAAAAAGGCAAGTGAGAAGCAGCGACAAAGACAGAGAGCCTGAATTGCAAAACAGTGATTCTCATTTTATTTTAAGAATCTTATTTTTCACCACTCTCATACTTCATAATTCAGAAGTGCGTTCTGCTGGTCCTCTCCTGAAAATAAAAGTGCTGGGAGAGGGGTGTTCGAAGTTGTCAAATGAGTCCAAACCTGATAATCAAAGAGTTAGCACTTGATCTGTGCATTTTTTGAACATATATATGTGTTTTATATATATATATATAACATATATGTGCTATATATGTATAAAACATATATGTGTTATATATATATAACATATATATGGAATGTATATGCTTATTTGCTTGTTTAAAACAATTTGCTAAACTAATAGCACAATCTACTAACAGCCAAGTTTGGTAGATGATAGCAGTGAGATGAACATTGAACTTTGAATTAGAAAATCTGAATATTGTGTCTCAGTTCTACAAACTATTAGCTGTGCGAGTTAGCTTTCCAGAGCTGTGTTCTCACTTGTTCATCTATACCTGAAATACTTATTGAGCACCCTTAATGTGACAATCACCGTTCTTGACCCTGTGATACAGTGATAAACATGAAAGGAAGAGGTCTCTCACTCCATTGAGATTCCAGTGACATGATATAAAAAAGAACAAATCAAAAAATAAAAAGGGCAAGGTAATTTTAGTGTTACCTACTATGTAGAAATAAAATAAGGTCATTTGAAAATGATTAGGCCATGATTGAGAATTGAAATAATGTACTCTAGGATTGGATGGAAAAGAAGAACTCTCTGAAATGGTAATAGTTTTGCCTTAACTTTAATCATGAGAAGTGTCAGTCATGAGATGACCATAATTAATAGGATTCCAAAGAGAAAGAACAATAAAAAGAGAAGTAGAAGGAGAGGACATGGAGTATTCAAGGAATAAAGTGAAAGTCAGTATGAACATATCGTCCCTGCCGCAATGTCAAATTCCCAAAATTAGATTTTTGGGAACGTTGAATTAACAGATGTGAAAGTGTTTGTTTCCATGTGCAACATACGGTCCTTCAAATAACTTTTTTAGTACACACATGAAGAAGTATAATTAGCATGTTAATTTATTGAGTCACTAATCAATTACATCCTAAAGGTCAGACCCTAAAGGAAAACACCACACCACCACATTGAAAACATTTTCTAGGGCATTCCTTTATTCAGTCACCAGGAGGTCCTGGTGTTGGGTCTTGTCCTGATACAAGTGTGTGCAGGAGTGAGTTGCCATAAGGTATGCGAAATGAGAAGGAGCCACATATCATTTTTCAAATTTGAAATTTTCCTTGTTTTTTTACAGTGTCACTCAGCATTTGATTTATTGTTATTTTTGTGCGTTGTGATCCTACAGATTTCTGAGATATATTATATAATCTGAGTATTATATATCCTCAGAAATGCTGAGACTCAGTGTTGAGGTTTTTATTGAAGGCATGTTTACTCTAAGCCTGTACCTGTCTCTGGTTTCTCTGCCCCAATTTAAAACATCCTTAACAAGGCTGCCTCAGTGTTCTTCCAACCCCCAGTCTTAAATCATATCTTTTTCTTTCTCACATAACAATCTTTCAAAGACTTCTCAATTGTACAGACATAATTTACTCAATACTTAGTTCCCCAAACTATTGTAAGTACATAGTAAATACCAAACACTAGTTGAGTGTAGTGATTCATCATTAAAGATGGTAGATACTGTCTCCACCATCATGGAGATTTTATTCCAGTAGTAAAGATAATATTTAAATAGCAATAATAATGACAATAAGTTAATATTATGTTAAAAGTAATGTTCCACTAAATATTAATAATCTAAAGTAAAAGCCTCTAAAACAAACTATAATATTGATATGGTTTGGCTTTGTGTCCCCACCCAAATCTCATCTTGAATTGTAATCCCCATGTGTTGAGGGCAGGGCTTGGTGGGAGGTGATTGAATCATAGGGGTGGATCTCCCCATGTTTTTCTCTTGTTAGTGAGTTTTCATGACATGTGGTTGCTTAAAAGTATGTAGCATCACCCACTGCTCTCTCTTCTTCCTTTTCCAGCCATTTAAGACATCTACCTGCTTCTCCTTTGCCTTCCATCATGACTGAAAGTTGTCTGAGGTCTCCCAGCCACGTGTCCTGTACAGCCTGTGGAACTGTGAGTCAGTTATACTCCTTTTCTTCATAAATTACCTAGTCTCAGGTAGTTCTTTACAACAGTGTGAAAACAGACTAATACAAATATCATAGAAAAAAATTCATAGAAGTAGAGTTAATTCAATAAAACCCACCACAGTTACTTTAAAGCACTGTGTGATAGTGTTTAAGCCACCCAGTTCTTGATATTTTGTCATGGCAGCTCTAAAAGAATAATACGGGAGGTGACATCTATATTAAGTATTGGCAGAATTTAGCTTAGCAGAGAAAAGAGGGTTTGGGTAAGACTATTTGGGGTAGCAGTATGTGCAAGAGAACAGTAAGGTGAGAGGACTTGGCTGTTTAGTGTAAACCACCAGTCTAGACAGGGTGTGGCCTAGGACATAGATGAGCTGGAATAGGGGTATCAAGACATGAGATCCAAGTGTGGCTGGGAAAGCATGAACGATGGAACCTCACATGCCTGGCTAACACATGTTGATTTCATCATAAGTTCCCCTTCGCCCAGTGGAATTCACATTTGTGAAGCCAGGCAAAGATCAACATTTTCCCAAATTCCGATAAAAACATGAGAGGTGCCCTAGAAATTCTGGCGGAAGTAAATGTTATATTTGAGACACATATTGTATTTTCCCTTTTTCTCTTGTCTTCCTGTGTTTCAGATGTAGAAAGGAAAAAGGGAGAGAAATGGAGACATTTATTGAATCCAGGCACCATGCTGTGGATTGCTAAATACAGCTTCGTAATTTGCATCTAGTTATCTGGTCTTCCAAGCTAGCTTTTTCAAGTATTTTTACCTTTACACATAAAGTTCTATTGGAGATGTACTTCACCCTTTTCTGCACTAAAGAGTTTAATTTTTCAAGACTCAGTTCAAACTTCATTTTGTTCTGTGAACATTTCTCTGGTTTTCAGAAAGTTATTCACATGCCACTCTCACTCTGCACCACTACATGAATAATGTATTTCTATGGTTATATTATCACATTGTATAAAAACCCTTCTACAAAGAAGGACAAATGTTGCCTGTTCTCACTCCTATGTGGGAGCTAAAAATTTAAAATATTAAACTCATGGAGGTAGAGAATAGATTGATGGTTACCAAAGACTGGGAAGGGTAGTGGGAAGACAGAGATAAAGTGAGTATGGTTAATGGGTGCAAAAATCCAGTTAGATATAATGAATAATATCTAGTATTTGGTAGCACATTAGGCTGGCTATAGTTAACTATCATTTGTTACATAGTTTAAAATAGCTGGAAAAGTAGAATTGGAATGTACCTAACAAAGAAATGATAAATGCTTAAAGTGACAGATACCCCAATTATCCCCATTTAATCATTGCACATTGAATGCTTGTATCAAAACATCACATATAACTTATAATTATATGTAATCATTATGTACCCATAATGATTTAACAATTAGAAAACAACAACAACAACAACAACAACAAAAACCTGTTCTGGTAAAGGGCCTGGTGCATGTTAGGTGACCCCCGACACACATAACCCAAGTACTCTGACGTGTGTGTCCACACTGCAGCACACAGATGGCACTAAGATTGAGATCTTGTGGAGGCACATGTCTTCTCCGAACCTGTTTTCTCATCTCTAAAAGGAGAGAGGTTGAAATTGTCAGACACTCTATTCTTAAAATCCGGGATTTGATAAGTGAGACATCATGTGACATGCTCTTCAAGAGATATGCAGGTAGCTCCTAACCACATTTGATATATTCAAAGAGATGAATTTCTCTATGCCAGAATGAGAACAGAATAAAATAATTTGAGAAGACCAAAGTATACACCAGATCCAGATCTGCAGAAGGTGACTGCTACAAAGAGAGAGATTGTCAATTTGAGGAATCAGTCTCTGAAAATACTTTACATGAAGACTGTAAGACACAATATACTAATTAGAATGCTCTCTTCTTGGGTTATTCTTTTGTGTTCTTTCATTTTCCAGTGTAAGAATCTGCTTAGGAAAATCTGCTAAGAACTTAGCTATAACTTTGAGTGGTACATAACTTTATTACCTCAAATGGTAGCTAATTAAGAGATAGAGTGTTTCAGAGAATTCGTGGTAATTACTGCTTCTGTTGCTCATCTCTTTCTGACATCTGATGTTTTATGAAAATCTGAGGGTTTCACAGAACCTGTGATAGTATTTATTTTGCCAGGTGAGCATTTCAAGTTTAAAGAGACACCTTTAAGTGGGGACACCCCGCAGGCACACTGGCCATAGTGATCGTGCTGAAGCCAGTCAGTCTGCCCTTGTGGCTGCATTGTCATGGGCCTTTCAGAAGAGAAAAAAAAAAACACTTTTGGAGTCACTCTACCATGTTATAAATCTCCTTTTTTCATCCTTTACTAATTCTGTTAGTCTTGGGAGAGTTTTACATACCTCTGGTCTTTTTTTTTTGAGATGGAGATGCGCTTTTGTTTCCCAGGCTGGAGTGCAATGGCACCATCTCAGCTCACTGCAACCTCTGCCTCCTGGGTTCAAGTGATACTCCTGCCTCAGCCTCCTGAGTAGCTAGGATTACAGGCATGTGCCACCATGCCTGGCTAATTTTGTATTTCTATTAGAGATGAGGTTTCTCCATGTTGGTGAGGCTGGTCTGGAACTCCCGACCTCAGGTGATCCACCCACCTTGGCCTGCCAAAGTGCTGGGATGACAGGAGTGAGCCACTGTGCCTGGCCATACTTCTGGTCTTTACTGTTCATATGTATAAAATGAAGATTCTAATACTCAACAGAGATTTATTGTAAGAGTGAAATGAAAGGATGATTGTTGGCGGTGGAAGATATTTGAGTTACCCTGTGTCAGGGTAAATCTGTATCAGTCTGCAGCAACTTCAGTTCTTGCCTTCTCAAAAGAAAGAATTCAACCGAGGGGCAGAAAGCAGGAGAGTTCAAGGCAAGATTCAGAGCAGGAATGTGTTTATTAAAAAGCTTTAGAACAGTAAGAAAAGGAAAGAAGAAAAAAAGAAGGAAAGTACAACTTGGAAGAGGGCCAAGTGGGAGACTTGAGAAACCAAGTGCCCGGCTTGACCTCTTGGCTTGGGTTTTATAGGTTGGCATAACTTTCGGGACCTTATTGGGAAGCTGCTGATCAGTTTCAGGTGGTGTTTTCTATCTATTAGGAGACCACCTTTCCCTGACACGGCTGGGGCCAATTATTACTTTAGAGAAATGGTTAACAATCACCTGACCATCACCTGATGGTTGCCCAACATTCCTGGTGTGTGTGGCGGGGGTTGGGGGGGTGGTGATGACAGTGGGGGCAGGATGGTGGAGGGGCTCTCTTGTCCTGCTCAATACCTGACTGGCTACCCACTGGAATACTTTTTTCAGATCATCTGGCACAGCATTGCTGCTCACAGACATCCTTCTGTTAAAAACCAGTGTTCCCCCAGGAACATATGGCTGATTAAATTCCCCAGCAACAAAAACAATATTATCAGTGAATGCTTTACCTAATAATGTGTATATTAACAGGGACTAGAATAAAAAAAAAGCAGCTGTCTTTTTGTTTGTTTGAATGGAATGTAAAATAAGGTATTTCATGAACACCAAATTATTTTTGAAGAATTGAATACGTGAAAACAACAAGAACTCAGGAAGATGGATGACTTACCATTTATGTAAGGTTACATTAAGGACAGAGACCCAGGAATCCTGACCATTCTTCCAGAACCTTCAGTCTTACTGCCTTGGCACTGTAACCTCAGATTAAGGGGCTAAGATGGGAGAGAAGCGAGATATTTGGACAGAGGGCACCTTAGCAGGCCTCCAGGAGGAAGAGAAGGAATTGCTACTTCAGTCACTATTTTTGTCTAAACTAACACTCTTACCATTAAGCTTTGTCATGGTATAGGAGTCCTAATTACTGAAGGTGCTTGAAGTCCTCTGTTTATAGAAGATAAAACTTGTCCTAACTCACCTGCCCCAAACCTAGCAGCTGACCTGATAACACAGGGGCTTACTCATTGTTTTATGTGCCATGCCTTGGCATACAAGAATAATATTTGCACTGAATAATATTTATCTCTTTTTGCGATGTCCTCTATATGAAACCTGTGTTGTATCTTTGGGCACATGCAGTGTCCAACACTTTGAAATCAATTATATTTACCAAATGAACTTATTGGTAAATAATGAATGGATGAATGAATACATCAGGAGGATTAAATGTTCTCTAAAAATATTTTAACTCTAATATTTTAATATTCTCTGTTATTTTCTTTGGGTAAAGTAGAATTTTTAAAATATATTTTATTATGTTTAAGTATATATATTTATACTTAAAAATATTGGGGATCAATATTCTTTGGGAGACATTATACAGAAAAGAATTTGGTTGAATTTTCTGCTAATCTGAAAAGTTGAATGTTATTGTCATATTTGCCTATGAGAAAAGGAAAGATAAGAAAAGATAATTCACAAAGGGACACAGTTTGAGAAGGACTAGGTGACTTCAACACTTGAGCTTTTCTTGCTCTTCCATACAGCCAGAGAATAGTAAAATATCCTATATTATTTTGCAGTTTATGAGGCTATTTTGCAAGGAAATTTCTGATATTCCAATGAACACAGAGTATAAACAGCTCCGTCTTCTGCTTGATGAATTTGCACACATGATCAGTAATTTAGAAATCAGATACATCTATTTAATGTTCAATTTAGAAGAAACTTGTTTCTCACATCCTGGCTCTCTTTACATCTTCTGGGAGAATGGCTATCCTTCTTAGCAGCTGATTAACAGCAATTTGACTCTCAACTGAAGAAGTCCTGAAAAGAAGCTCATGGGCTCTAAGAAGGTTAACAAAATCAGCAAAGGCAAAAAGAATTCATAGGTATACATAAATATGAATATTTCAGTTTAGCATTTTCTTCTGTGTTAATTTCCTTTCTGTCTTGCCTCTCACACATTATTAGGCATCCTAGGTGGCTGCAACTGCCCTGTCCGTTTCTTCTCCTCAGAACTCCCACCTTCCTTGGTTGTTTCTTCTTTCTCTGAATGACCCCTAATAACCCATTTAGTCTTAGCTTTGACTTTACGTCTTCCATGAAGTCTTCTTCTACATGTGTTCTTGAATTTCTCTGTACATCTTTATCTTTACATGTGCCACATCTTGTTGCAATTATTGGTGGATCTGTACCCACCACTGAATTGATAATTTTTGAGAAACGTGAAGCAATTCTTGCCTTTATTCTCAATCACAATCACAGCTCAGCACATAGTATGCATTACAGAAATGCTTTGTGGAATAGAGGAAAATAGGAAGGAGAAAAGGAACAAATGGGAAAGTAAATCACATTGTAAGACTCTAAAGCCTGTGATAATAAGGAATGCGTGTCCTAACAGTTGGTTTCATTCCCTTGATGCTTAAACAGGAAGCACTTCTTAACTTGAGCCAGGATTCATCTCCATAAAAAGTAGATAGTTTGGTCTTAGTTATATCTTTTATAGCCATTTAATGTAGATATTTAAAACACAGTGATTGGTGACTTTTGGAATTTTTCCTTCCTGAAGCCAGCTCCTATACCTCCAAATGCTTTGACAAACTGTCATATGACAAAAGTACACAATCCCTGGATTCTGATTTCTCTGCAACACCCTGACATATAAGGAATTGTAGGAAAGAGAGTCAGTATGAAGCATATGCAGTGACAAACTTCATAGTTGGTAACTGTGTCTGTAATTGCCAGTCATGATACTGGAAAGATATTTTATCTTATTCAGCCATAAATCAGAAAACTTTATTCTCATTCATAAAATCAGAAAAAACACAATGCACTCAACTATTTTGTATACAAATTAAATGAGATAACATTTTATTTACTTTGTGCAGTCCTTGGCACAAAGGACACTTGCAGATGTCTTTTAAAGTAAAAAGTTGTTTAAGTGCGTGTGTGTGTTTGTGTGTGTGTGTGTGTGTGTGTATGTTTGTGTCCTGCAGGAGTTGCTTTGTGAATTAATGTGATGAAGAGGTTTGAGATATTTTAATAGTACATGAAAACATGAACATGGCATCCAAAATAAGGTTAGTTGTAGTAAAATGAACTCTTAACTGGGAACCAAAAAACAGTAACTTTACGGTTCAGCCCCGCTACCATCTAAGTAAAAGATTTGGGGAAAATTATGACTTCATGACAGCCACATTTTTTATATTTTTTACATGGAAAGACAAAGTCAAAATATTTTCATTATTTCTCCTGAATTTAAGTATTAATTTATATTTAACAAAGTCAAAAGTTATTCTGTGACAGAAGCAAACTAGTAAAACTCTAATGAAATCTCAAGAATACTGATAAATCAAGGCTAAGGGAATGAAAAAGATGGAATAAAATCTGTGTGGCTAATACCATCAGCGTTTGAAATTTTGCTTTCTCCTCCCTCCAACAACAACTCATGAAAAATGCTGATGTTGACTTCAGAAAAAAGTTCCCAGTGATGGAAAGACTTCAAAAATCACCCCAGACAACTGGCCTTTAAATCTCTAATGACTTTTTAAAGTACGGAGTGACATCCTTCATGTTTAATTCAAGTCATATCCAATAGTTCCATCAGCATGAAGAACATGAGGCATAAACATTGAAATTTAATTTAAACAGTAATTGGACACAAATTTGTTTCTAGAAATTGGAACATAATATTAAAATACATCTCCGGTTTCCTCTCTAGTGATAGTAAATGCTCTTATGATAAACACATGGAGAAAAACTGTGTGTTTTGGATGAATGTTTATTTCATTCCATTCAAGAAACACCCACTGAACTTCTACCAAGTGCTCTATACTGTACTCAGCACATAAAGACAATATTCACAAGGAAACAAAGTCTTCCCTTTGGAAGAAAAAGCATGTTTAGTCCTCAATGTCTTATCTGAATTTAAATGTTATAGTATAAGTTCCCAATCTGTTAAATAATGTTAAGTTGGTCTTAAGAAGTGAACAATCTTATGCTTTAGGCTCTCAAAAAATTCATTGAAAGAAAAAGAAGATAAAATATCAAAGTGCTTAATGGATCTTTAACTGATTATATTTGTGTAAAACAATACGTTCTACACCAAGTTGCATTTTGAGAGGAGTACTTAGTGTCTTGAACAACCATATTGGTACTGATACTGCTAAATTGATATAATAATTTAGCAATATAAATGACAGTATAAATGATAAATGATAGCCTTTTTATGTTTATATTTTTATTTAAAGTATATTTAAACAATTTTTTATTTGCTCATCTAGACAAAACTGGGAAGTAGGCAGAGCAAGATCTTTGCTTCTGTAGAAACTGAGCTTCAGCGAGTCAATTGGTGAAGCTCACCAGTTAGTTGCTGAAGATCACCAGTGCTAGTATGTAGCAATAGCAGGTTTCAACCACAGTGCTTTCCTCTTTGGTCTCCCTGGATGAAGGATTGTTCTGCTTCAGATCTGAGTCACTTTATGGGAAATATTTAAGATGTGGCAAATCAAACGAGAAAGACACTTAAACAGACTTTCCTATTTCTCCTCACATTATAGTATGACGGAAGCAGTCCCACCACCTATTAGCTAAAGTTGAAATAGAAGCATCCCAACTAAATGATTAAAAGCGCATCTACTAGATTCAGACTGCCTGGATTCAATGCTAAATCTACCATTCACTAGTTATGTGCCCTTAGGTAGATTGCTTAACCATCGCATGCCTCAAATCCCCACCTGTGCAATGCCAGTAGTGATAAGAGTACCTACCTACAGGCTGGTAGCAAAGACTAAATAATTTCACCCATGCGGAGGACTTAGAGAATTGGCACATAGTGAGTACAACCTTAAGTGTTAAGTAGTGGTACTCAGAAACCCTGTGATGCAATACTTTATGATGTCAATGTAAAGGAAACTGAAAAGAGTGTTGAAAGACAATGGTCATGGAACTGAACAGATGAGCCTCTGATTCCTGTTCTGCCACTGATAAACCCTATGGTCTTTGTCATTTACTCCCCTTCCTGGGCCTCCCTAGGGAGTAATGAGGCTAGAAGAAATGATACCTGGGAAGGTGAGACAGATAGACTAAGAGCATGTTCTAGAGTCAGACAGATTCATGTAGACACCACAGCTCAGCAACATATTAACCATTTGATGTTGAACGTTGTAAACCAAAAAAGTACCTGAGACAAGTCTCAATCAATTTAGAAAGTTGATTTTGCCAAGGTTAGGGATGTGCTCACAGCACAGCCTTAGGAGGTCCGGATGACATGTGCCCAGCGTGGTGGGGGCACAGGTTGCTTTTATACGTTTTAAGGAGACTTAATACATCAATCAATACGTGTAAGATTTACATTGGTTCCATCTGGAAGGGCGGGACAACTTGAAGAAGAGACTTACAGGTCATAGGTAGATATAAACATGTTCTGACTGGCAGTTGGTTGAAAGAGTTATTATCAGTAAAAATATCAGTTATGGAGACCTAGGTTTTATCATGTAGATGAAACCTCCAAGCAGCAGGCTTTAGAGAGGTTAGCCCGTAAATGTTTCTTATCAGACTTAAGGTTTGTACTAACGTTAATGGTGGAGAGGTATAATGAGGCACGTCCAATCCTCATTTCCTGTCATGGCCTGAACCAGTCTTTCAAGTTACATTTTAGAGTGCGTGGCCGAGGAGAAAGTCCATTCAGGTGGTTGCAGGAAGGTGAGAGGAGGTTCAAATTTTATTTTTGGTTTACAATACCTATCTCACCTTACAGAATGAAAAGGGAAGTGCCTGCTCATAGTTGGGTGGTGGTGACTTAATAGGATCATCCAATTGAAGCAATTAGCACAACTCATCATATTTTTATTTAATAAATGAGTCATTATTATTATTAATATAGACTTATGACTCTTTTAATAAAATTATATGATGCCAGGGGCTATAAACCTTCTGTAAAAGGTCAAGTAAACTCAATACTCAAAAGTTGAGAAAAGAAACTAGTAACTTGTATAAATGTCCACAATGTGCTACGGCAAAATTTTTATTGATTTGTCTTGCCATTAAGCAGCATTCACTTGAGTCTCCGTGTTGCCCATGGCACTTTCCTTGGGTAAGTGCCTCCGGGTCAATGCAGTGAGGAAGGTGAAAAGGAATAGATAATAGAAAAAAATATGTAACAAAATCTTCATGGTTTCATTTAGAGAATATTAACCAGCTCTTCCCAAGAGCTTATAAGGTACCTTATATGGAAAGTTATGCAAATTATATGTCAGAGTGACAATATATGAGTAATTTCTAGAGGCATAGTTGAGTTTCAGGCATGATTCATTCTTCCCAGTACTCACCGTCTAGACTGTAAACATGTGTTAAGGATAAAGCCATTTTAACAAATTTTGGAACTCATTTTAACAAACAGAATTCAGAGCCTCTTTAAAAGTTACACCTAAAAAATGAGTTTTAATATGAGCCGGGGTTCTTTCACCTGGTTACCTGTGGTCACTATCGGATTTAACCTCATTCTTCAACTACTTACATCACTTTAATCATTATACTTCGTTGTTCCTATATCTTACCCTTTCTACAAACTTTCCTTTTTTATTTATTTATTTATTTATTTATTTATTTATTTACTTATTTATTTTGAGATACGGTCTTGCTCAGTTGCCTAGGCTGGAGTGCAGTGGCACAATCTCGGCTCATTGCAATCTCCGCCTCCCAGGTTCAAGCTATTCTCCTGCCTCAGCCTCCCAAGTATCTGGGATTAAAGGTGCCCGCCACCATGCCTAGCTAATTTTTGTATTTTTAGTAAAGACAGGATTTCAGCATGTTGGCCAGCCTGGTCTCAAACTCCTGACCTCAAGTGATCCATCCACCAATCTCCCAAAGTGCTGAGATTACAGGCGTGAACCATGGCGCCAGGCCAGTCTTTCCAATTTTTGATTGTTGGCTGTTCTCTGGGTCTAGAATGTCTTCCACTTATCTGAAAATACCTCTAATTGCCTTTCTCAACATTTTCCTGCTGTAGGAAAAGATACAAATAAATAGCATCTACTGAACCCAGGTTTCAGTATGTGAAAGACAAGCATTCTCAATAGACAAATATGCCGTTATACCTAATAAATTCCAGAAAGAGAGTCTAATTGTGTTGCTGATATGTTGATTTGCTCTAAAGGCCAACCACTGTCTTCAGCAGACATTCATCCCCATGGGTGAGAGTAGGAAGCAGGCTTCAACACCTGTTTTTAAATGTTTCCAGGTCAAAATCATCTTGGACAGTGTTTTAGGTTGTAAAATTGTGGAAACTGAAAAGGACATGAAATCTCTGCTTTAGAGGAAATGCAAAGTTTATTCCTATAGAAATGCACACCTGTGTTCCAACAGTAGTTCTTTCGGATATAAGCGTTGGTGAGGCTGAATATACTAACTTTACTATACTGTTTAGTTTTCAAAGTATTTGTATTATGTATTGCGTATCTACTATGTATCAAACAGTTTTCAAACAGTATTTTAGGTACTGGAGGGGGTGGGGGAAACTGTAACAGAAATAAAGTAACCACCATGGACTTTATCAAAATTAAAAATATTTTGTGGGGTGGGGGGAGGGGGGAGGGATAGCATTAGGAGATATACCTAATGCTAAATGACGAGTTAATGAGTGCAGCACACCAGCATGGCACATGTATACATATGTAACTAACCTGCACATTGTGCACATGTACCGTAAAACTTAAAGTATAATAATAATAAAATAAAATATATATATATATATATATTTATTCTAAAAAATATACTGGGAAGTAAATAAAAGGACTAATGGAGAAAACATTTGTAAAACATATTTGATAAAGGACTTGCATCTGAATTTATAATGAATTCTAAATGAGCTTATTTAACTCAATAATAATAAGACAAAAAAATCCAGTTTTAAAATGAACAAAATATATGAATAGAGATTTCACTGAAGGGATTTTATGAGTAGAATTAAGCCTTGTAAAGACGAAAACTAAGACATTTCCAGGAGACAATACAGTCTATGCAAATACTGGGAATCACTAGAAGAGAATGCGATTTTTTGAAAATTAAAATAGCAAGTAGTTAAATCTTGTCAAAGCATACAACTCCACTGGCAAGATTTAAGACAATTGAAGCAGGAAGGAGCCAGCTTTAGGAATGTCTGTGTTAGCGGACATATGGAGAATGTATCTCGTGAGGGATTTACACTTTATACTGAACACAAGAGGGAGATATTGAAATATATTTTAGCAGGGGCACTATTTAAACAAATATCCTACAATTACAGTTGATTTCCATTCTGTCCAGTATGTGTTTTTGGTACATTATGCTTGACACTAACACCATCACTGATTCTCTCTTCAGTGCATTTGTGTGTGGATATTTGTGTGTCTAGCATTGTCTTAGTTCCTGAAAGCACAAAAATAATGAGATGTTGTCTTCATCTGCTAAGAATGCACAGTCCACTGGGTGAGGGCCATAGGAAAATACCAATATTGCAAAAGCGAGTTCCATTCTGCTGTGGAATCCAGTTTAGATTCGAAGATCACTGAGTATGGAGAAAGCATGAAAGGGAAACATTGGTGTAGAATCTCACCTTAATAAGTAGGAGTTTCCTGTGAAATGGAAAAGGGATGGGGAGAATCCCCGACAAAAGCAAAAAAGTGAAAGATGGGGAAACATAAATGCAGGAAACTCTGAGAACAGTTCTGGAGACTCATGTATAAGTCTGTAATGTGGTAGGTCTGAAAATAAAAATAAAAAATCTATGTAGGCAAAAATGCGGCTCAAATATTCAAGATGCCAAGTTTTTGGAAGTGAAGTTTTCACTATGGAATTGAAGATTCACAGCTTTCTGAAGACAGAATAAAACATCCAGGGACAAGCAGGAAATACCTAGAGGCGTGGCCATGAAAACACACATGCGCGTGCAGCTGGCTTGTTGGTAAGGATGAGCCTGCCGGTATTTGGTACATAAGGGCTTAATGTAAGTTCCAGAGACCAAGCACACATAATATGTGAAGAGCTGGTGACAAAGTTGAAACTGGGAAGTAGCCAGAGGCCATACCTTGAAAACTGTGGTATCCTTTGATGAGAAGTTGAAATATTCTGCAATAGGTCTGCATACTCAATATTTTCCACTGAATTGCTTCTAATGACAGAGGAAAGATAACTTTAGGTAGTCTGGTAACTCAGCACCAAACAACCTGACAAATGTTGCCAATTTCTTTGAAGTCTGATGTTTCTTCTTTAAAATGTAAATTAAATGTGAGGCCAATTATGTTGATTAATAGGTATTTTAATATAATCTGCTTTCAGCAAATGTTTAGATAGAATTGTTACCCCAGGCATTTGGCCCATGTTTAATGGCTGATTTAGTAATCTAAACACCTCCATCTCTGCAGGGAGTATACAGCCATATGAGAATCACTGTTATAGGTGATGAGGCTCCATGAGAGGGCATTAACTTCTAAAAGCATGAGAAACCATCATCTTCTTCTGCAATGAGAGAATCAATGTGCCTCATGAAGTTACATACCATGATGAAATAAACCATAATCCATCCAAAGTTTACCAGCCTCTTATCCCTGCAGCGCCACATTTAACTTGACTCTGAAGTTACAGTTAAATTAAAAGGGTTTGCATATTTTATTCTCTCTAGTGATTTTATTGCTCACTAGAGATTTGCTGTATTAAAAAGCACCAAAATTACTTTTATCAATTAACGATATTATACTTAACGTCTAGATAAATTATTGAGTGGTGTTTGAAGTTACTGTGAGAAAACTTTGCATTGAATAAGGAAATGTGTTGATGTCCGTGTTTTGAGTAGGAAAGTTACTGTTTTTTTTGTAATAAATCCTAGTGATGAAAATGTTAGTAATGATGGTGAATATGAGGATATTTCAGGTACACTGCAAGAAACTAAGGATACAAAATTGGCCTCAAGGAGCTCACATTCATTGCCTGGCGCGGTGGCTCACACCTGTAATCCAGCACTTTGGGAGGCTGAGGCGGGTGGATCACCTGAGGTTGGGAGATTGAGACCACCCTGACCAACATGGAGAAACCCTGTCTCTACTAAACTACAAAATTAGCCGGGCATGGTGACACATGTCTGTACTCCCAGCTAATCAGGAGGCTGGGGCAGGAGAATGGCTTGAACCCAGGAGCGGAGGTTGCTGTGAGCTGGAGATCGCGCCATTGCACTCCAGCCTAGGCGACAAGAGTGAAACTCCATCTCAGAAAAAAAAAAAAAAAAGAGCTCACATTCAGAATTTGATGCAGTAAGTAAATCAGCCTCAAATTATGATACAGTACGTTAAGTACTACAGCAGAGCTGAACACAGCATGCCATTGGTGTAGAGAGAAGGACCTCTCACTTGGACATGGAGACAATGTAGATTTCCTGAAGAGTAAGATACTTGACCTGAGTTTCCAGGCTGCTTAGAAATTGATCAATCAAAACAGGCTTGGGGATATTCAATAACAAGCTATGAAACCTGTGCCATAGCAATGAAACATGGGGAAATTGAAGTGCGTAGAAAATCAGCAGTTACTTTCGTTTGTCTAGACTACAGCAAATGAAACGGAGATTGACAGGCAGTTAAAGGTCTCATGCAATATAATGAGGAGCTTGGCATCCACCTGCAAACTAGGCAAGGCCAGGTGGGTCTCCAATGTCCCTTCAAGTGGCTAAATGTGTTATTTACCTGGCTGAGGGGGCAGTGGAGTTTGAGATTTTATTTACGTTCTATAAGCCAAGCCAAGTCTTGTAACCTAGGTCTGGCACATGTGTGTGTGAGTGTGTGTGTGCAAAGGTGCTGTATTTTTGCTAAGCCATGGGCCTGTAGGGCTCTGTCCACCTGGAAGTGTGTCTTTTTGTAATCTACACAAAGGACAAAACCTGTGCTATAGAAGCCAGTAGATGCTTTTGCAAAATGTAAAAAATGTGGTTATAGTGAATGTATACTTTGGAAAGATGAGTCTGGTAGGTGTGAGGAGCATGGAATAGATGAAAAGACACAACCAGCAGAGAGAGCAGATAGCCAACTATTGCAATTACTCAAACTGTAATCAATTATTCAGTGGAAGCAGATAAGAGGGATCATATTTTCCAAATATCTTTATCACAGTCTTCTCCTCATAACCGCCTGCTATTTCTGATTTATTTTCCTCAGCTAAACATGGGTGTTACTACCCTTTCTCTACTTCAGTTGCAATTAAGAGGCTTACCAGTTATTGCCGTTTCCATCTAAGTATGTTTAAGAGATATATCGAGTCACTTTCTGCTAATAAAAATGATAACATGCCAAAGGTCTCTATTCTAGTCATGGATACAGGTTTTTGGGTGCTCAAGGTTTCTTTTGGGGGTTGCTGTTTAAGAACAGGTATTTAAAATATAAATAATAATTTACAACAATTAATTTTTAAATAGAATTAAAACACACTCAAAAATTACAAATTAAGAAGCTGGCAAATATCACCACATCCATAAAAATAACATAATATTCATATTAATATACTGCCTGACAAAATTCTGTAGAAAATAATCCCATTATTTTTAGTTGCATATTTTTTATGGTCTTTTTATTTCCCTATTATTTTTAGTTGCTTTTTTTTTTTCTTTTTTTTTTCTTTTTTTTTTTTTTACAGAGTCTCCCTCTGCTGCCCAGGCTGGAGTGCAGTGGCGCGGTCTCTGCTCACTGCAACCTCCACCTCTCGGGTTCAAACAATACTCTTGTCTAAGCCTCCTGAGTAACTGGAGCTACACGCATGTGCCACCACACCCGGCTAATTTTGTATTTTTAGTAGAGATGGGATTTCCCCATTTTGGCCAGGCTGGTTTCGAACTCGTGACCTCAAGTGATCCACTCTCCTTGGCCTCAAAAGTGCTGGGATTAAAGGCGTGAGCCACCATGCCCAGCCCAGTTGCATATTTTTTACAATATCTTCGTTAATTATATTACTAATTTTATAGTATAGTTTTCTATGGCAAAAATAGAAAGATGGTTCATTGAGTTGTTTTCTCAAACATCATTTTTTGTTTTACTTATTGGTGATGATCTATTAATAATTTAGGAATATGTTACTGGCTGTCAGTCCCTGTACCAGCTGGAGGACATGGGACTTAATACCTACATAAATTTGTCACCTATTTAGATGTCATCTGTTTCCTTTTAAAGCAGAGCTGATGCTTTTACTCTTATAAGACTGCATATGAGTTGAACAAAGGAACATATGGCAATGACTTGTTAGAGTGTATTTAAGAATTTAGGGGAGAAGAACTGTTCACTGCCCAGAGTGAATGTGGTGTCCCCACACATATTCCGCCTCTGGGTGCCAGAGGAACATCCCAATGCAGCATGCTTTGGGTCCAACACTTTCAGGCCATGGCACTGGGCATTAGAAGGATCAGCCCACTGGGCATTAGAATAATTTTTGAAAAGCATTTCTCCATCAGAATGTTAGCAATCACTTAACTAGACATAGACTTACCTATATAAAGATATCACTGAAGCTCCAAGTGCCCACACCACCTCAATGCCACCCAAAATGAAGAAAGTATGCCAGAGGGGAAGGTGGCAAAGAAGGAGATAGCATTCTTAATAGGTTGCTCTTAAAATATTTTACTTTTTCAAATTTTATAACAATGTACTACCTTATGAGCTCCTCTTTAGGAATGTGGCCTTGCGAGCAACTATTTGGCAAGTTCACCCTGGGTTTGGAGAACATCTGACCAAACCCTCCCCATTAGCCCATGAAAGCTGTGCCAGTTGCAGTTGAAAGAAGAGGCTATTTTCTCTTAGGGACAGAGCCCTTTGGAAGAAGGCCCGAGAATGGGTCCCACTAATGGCTGGGCTAGTTTTGTAGGATTTTACCTTGAACCCCTACAAGACCCACCTAGACTGCAGCTGTGTGATGTCCATCTCAGTGGTATGGCAGAGGATATAAGGTACCATTTTCTGATAGACTACCATTTGTTAGGTACAGTACATGACATTTTGTATACATTTATTTTAAATCCTGTCATTTTCTTGAGGGATAAGCGGTTACTACAACTCAGAATAATTAACCTGAATTAACCTGTCTGTAACTAGACAGGTAGTAAATAAAAACTAGGAACTCAGAACCTTTTTTTCTGGCTGTAAACTGAAAAAAAATGAATTGTAAAGATGATGATGATGATGATATAATAATAATAAAACAAGCAAAGCTAATAATAGTTTACAACTAAAATTGATTAAGTTATTTCAATGTGTTGGTCACAGTTCTAGATGCTTTACATAGATCATCTTATGTGGATCATACAGTGCCCAATATATGGATATATCATCCCCATTATGCAGAGGAAGACATTAACATACATGCCAGTTAGATGGCCTGCTCAGTCGTTATAGAGGTATACTGGAGTTTGAATTGACTTTACTTCAAAGGCCGTGTTCCAAGTCTAAGTTTTTGATTACCTTTTAAATGTGTTCTAAGATGAATTAATCACTGAGTGCACAAAGAATAGAAAAATTCAAATATGCAATTTTTGTCTGTTCTCCTTCTCCCTTTGAACCAAGACATGCCAATTATTAGTTACGCTTCTGCAGATAAATAGAACCAATAGGGTGTGTATAGTTATATAAGAGCAGATTAATCATGGCAATTGACTTCCATGATTATGAAAGTCAAGAAGTCCCAAAGGGTGTCATCTGCAAGCTGGAGACCCTAAAAAGCCAGGGATGTAATTCAGTCTGGTCTAATAACTGAAGGAGGTGCTAGGTGGGGAAGCCTGGTGTAAGTTCTGGAGATTGAAGCCCAAGAACCAGAAGCTCCAATGTCCAAGGGCATGAAAAGATGAAAGTTCCAGCTCAAGAAGAGGGAGAGAAATCACCCTTCCTTCACTTTGCTGTTTTGTGTGGCCCTCAGTGCATCAGATGATGCTCACCCTCTGTGGCGTCAGCAGATCTTCTCTACTCAGTCTGTTGATTCCAATGCTAATCTCTTCCATAAACACATTCACAGACACATCCACAAATAATGCTTTACCAGCTTCCTGGGCATTTATTATCCCAGTCAAACTAACGTATATAACTAACCATCACAGCCAGTTTGTAAATATGCCTGTAACTAGACAGGTAGCATAGCACAGGCCAGCTGCCAAGACCATGGGCTCTCCTAATTCTGAGTACATTGGAGCAAAGGCCTTTGACAATCCAGGATTCAGCAGCAGGTTCAGATTTCCATAATTTTCACCTTCTCTCTAGGCCCTTGCAGCTGGGAGATGATCTGTAACAGCAGACCACCTTTGCAGACAGCAAAACAGAGGGAGGCAGTTTTCACACCTGACCCAGTGGCACTGAATAAGTAAAAAAGTCAGGATGTGTGATGAACCCACTGGGAAATTCATGCTGGCAGAAATATTATGTTCGATCTGTTTCCCTTCTGGGAGAACAGCTGGGTTACCTGGTTGTGAGTCTCTCTTATGGTTTTCTTCTGAACGGATAATTCAGTCTGAGAAGTGAGACAATCACTTGCGTGCTTTAATTAAACAGTGGAATCCAAGAACTACGGGAAAACTCATGTGAGAAACATGGAAAACGTAGGAGTTAAATTTGTTGTTACTGTGGTGAGTGAGAGAGCACAAACTCATGGTCACCGTGCCCATTGAAAGGATCAGCCATAGTGCAAGGCCCATGAAATGGATGCCCTAATTCAATATTTATGGCAGCATCCTCATTTCACAGATGAGAAGCCTGGGTTTCAGAAAAGTTAAATTTTTACTCAAGTTGACACTAATTACAGGTGGTACAGTTGAAGAAAGAGCTCAACTCTGGCAAAGGGAGACCAAGAGTAACCTCTGGTGTGGAAGTTGGCTGAGCACTCAGTGCCTGACTGTGCTATACTCCTGTTGGACATGAGCTGTCTCTCAGAACACCAATTCAGACAAGGTTACTCCAAGACTATGATACAATAAAGCAAAGCAAGGATACTTCGTAATTTTGTGGAAGCACAGACAAAATCAATATCAGTATGCCACCTACAAAAGACCAAACAGCCCTTCTCTTGGCCAAAATGAGTGATGTCTACTTCTTTACTAATGAAGTTTTATTTTTGTTCTAGTCAGCTCTCCATCCAGATGAGATTTTTTGAGATACCCAATCTTATAATTGCCTCCAGCTTTCTGACAGCATCTAATTTTGGCAAACTCTCCCCTCCTTCTGTCCTCTCCCAAATGACCTAACCTAAACCCCAAATCTACAGAAAGTTATTTCTATTACCATCTTACTGAGACACCCCATGATTCCTCATGATATGTGTTATTTGTCTGTGCAACAGGTAATAAATTGAACTTGTTCACTACCCATATGTTTCTGGTAGTTTTTAAATAATTTGACAAGTCTTTGTTTGGTGGATGGTGCCGTCAAAGAAGTAGGTATGGAAATCGTGTCAAGTTTGGGAAGTGCCAGTGCTGATGTGTGAACCTGGACAAGCTCCAGAACAAGTCAAGGACCCCTGAAGTTACTTATTCAGAAAATACAGGGTTTGACAATTGGATCTTCAAGAACCTTCTTGGTCTAAAGCCATAATCCATTTAACGACATTCACACTTTTGATACTTGCAGCCTGTTAGGGTGGCCAGGGAAGGTTTTAGTATCTGCATCTGACAGAATAGAATAGTGAGACGCAGGGGCAACATTCAGTAACTAGCTTTTTGGCAGACCTGGAAATAAAATGAAAGCTAATTCCTAAGATCAGAGCATAATTGTATCTGCTTAGTAAAGATGATAACAGTAGCTAAGAGGAATTGAGTGCTTATCATTTGCCAATCCTCACAACAAGGCTATTTGTTAGATACTATTAGCATTCATTTTCTATATGGGGAAACTGATTTGCAGAAAGGCCAGGCAACTTGCTAACGTTTACAGCCAATGAGCGGCAAAGCCCAGATTTGAATTTGGACGGGAGGGTCTCAGTTTATGTTCTTCACCATGCTTTATCCCTCGTAAGCACAAAGTGTTCCAGGCAAAGGATTAGAACATTGTCTCACACATGGTAGATTCCTAATTAATACTAACTTTATCATCGTCTTATTTAAACATCCCAACACACCTACAGAAATTCGATGTAAGTAGCATTCATATCTCTATTTTTCAAATAAAAAAACTGAGGGAGTGTCATTAAATAACTCACTCAAGGCCACACAGTTTGTATGAGACAAGCATGAAACCTGAATCAAAGTATTTCAGAATGTAACTATACTGCCCCTAGTTGTTATTTGTAATTTATTTGATCTATATTCTCTTAAAGATTGTGTGGTCGGTATTGAGGTATATATCTTATCTTCCTTACTTCTCACAGTAAGACTATGACTTAGGTATCGCTTTATCTTCTTTTTACCCATCAAGAATATGAGGCAAACAAATATTCACTGATCTGTCCTAGATGATACATAATGTAGGTTTTATGAAATCAGGGGACATAACATGAGCAAATTATTGTAGTAAGCATCACTGCAGATGAGTCTTTTACTTTATCTAAGACCTAGTGACATTTACTAATATAAAAACAACTAATATGGTGATTTAAATGTTTTCATTAAAATAGGTGGAGAAGGTTTCTTGTCTTCATAATTTATTAAACCCTACTCCAAATAAATACAAATTTCTTTTAAAATTCTTCATTAAAAATAGTAATTCAAACATATTTTCTCTCCTGTCATTCTAACAGAATGCTTACATTTTTACGTTATAAAAATGTAAGCATTTTTGGAAAGGAAAGGTTACATTTACTTATACACGTATTCATAAGAAAAATATTGAACATCCACTCTACTCCAGCCACTTGATAGTCTCAGTAATTTCAAGGAAACTCTGACTTTGAAAACTAAATGACTTGCCTGAGGGCATTTAAATCCTGGCCTTTTAGCTGTAATTTATTAGCACACTGAATCACATGCAATTTATAAAATGTTTTCTCGGCCGGGCGCGGTGGCTCACGCCTGTAATCTCAGCACTTTGGGAGGCCAAGGCGGGTGGATCAAGAGGTCAAGAGATCAAGACCATCCTGGCTAACATGGTGAAACCCCGTCTCTACTGAAAATACAAAAAATTAGCTGGGCGTGATGGTGGGCGCCCGTAGTCCCAGCTACTCAGGAGGCTGAGGCAGAAGAATAGCATGAACCCAGGAGGTGGAGCTTGCAGTGAGCCAAGATCGCGCCACTGCACTCTAGCCTGGGCAACAGAACAAGACTCTGTCTCAACAAAAAAAAATATAAATGTTTTCTCAATAAACCTTATACTTAAGAAGCTTCTTGCAAATAATCTGTAGACATGATATGGTGAACTGACTGTAGGTAACACTTTCTTGTGCTCAGAATCGTGGCATGACCTTATCAAGCTGAAATACATGGGTCCAGTGCTTTTCATTCTTTGATCCTCAGTTACTTCATTTATAAAAGCAAGGCTAATAATATTTATCTTGCGGGTTAAAAAGAAACAATTCAACAATTATAGCATAGGATCAGAAAGACATTAAGAATAAAAATACGAATAACTTTTTATAAAATGGATTTGTAGTCATAAAATAAATAAATGTGTTCCTTAATAATGCTCCTGTTTTTATAATCAATTTGCCATGTTTTCAATCCTTCTAGTCAGGAGTCTATTTTGTGTGCGAATGTTACCAAAAACCTCAATAAATACGTGTGAACAATTGCTGAAAACTATCCAATTGGTTTTTACGACTAAAGTTTTAGTTAATTTAATCATTAAGATCAATGATAAAGAAGTTTTCTTTGCTAAGAATCCTTGACTTTGAACAAGACAGAGCTTGAGAATGAAAGGTTTTTGCTTTCCTTTTTGTTTTAAATATTGTAGAACTTAGCAATAATTTTTTTAACCTTTCATCTTTTTTTTACATTATTAATATTTTCATGATTTTTAAGCTGAAGGAAAATGATGCCAAATAGAAATTTGGATCTATGCAATGGAATGAAGAGCAACAGAAATGAAAAATACGTGGGAAAACATTTTCTCTTTCTCAGTTTTTTGAAAGACAATTGATTTTTAAAGCAAAAATATAAACCATGCATTTTAATATAATGTTTATTGCATAGGTAGAAATAAATGGATGAAAGAAATAAATGGATGAAAGTAATAACACAAAGGACAGAAAGCCTGTAACTGAAGGTTCGCCTTTTAAGGTCCTTAGAGCATACAATAAGTAGTATATTTATTCATATCAAATGACAATAATAATGCTAACAATAATAATAATAATCCATATAATGTCTCCTGAAAAAGAAACTATATAATCAGTATTTATAGAGCATACAATAAGTAGTATATTTATTCATATAAAATGACAATAATAATGCTAATAATAATAATAATAATCCATATAATATCTCCTGAAAAAGAAACTATATAATCAGTATTTATAAAAAGCCAAGGGAAGAGATAAAAAGGAATATTGAAAAATAATCATAAAAAATAAAAATAAAAACTTAATCCACAAGAAGACAATTAAATAGATAACAAGTAATGTGATTGAATAACCATATCAATACATACCTTAAATGTAAATAGACTAAACATTCCAGTTGAAAAGCAGACACTGTCAGAATAGATTTAAATTTTAAAAAAAGGCCAGGTGCAGTGACTCACGCCTGTAAACCCAGCACTTTGGGAGGCCAAGGTGGGTGGATCACTTGAGATCAGGAGATTGAAACCAGCCTGGCCAACATGGTGAAACCCCATCTCTACTAAAAATACAAAAAATTAGCCAGGTGTGATGGCAGGCACCTGTAATCCCAGCTACTCGGGAGGCTGAGGCAGGAGAATCGCTTGAACCCGGGAGGCAGAGGTTGCAGTGAGCCGAAATTGCGCCATTGGACTTCAGCGTGGGAGACAATAGCAAAACACCATCTGAAAAAATAAAAATAATAGTAATAAATAAAATAATATTTAAAAAAGACCTGTTCTAGCAGCCTTTCATCAGGAACTTTAGAATTTTCTAAGTAAAGAATCATATCATGAGCAAAAAGAGGTAGATTGACTTCTTTTTTTCCTAGTTGAATAGCTTTTATTTCTTTCTCTTGATTGATTGGTCTAACCAGTACTATGTTGAATAGGAATGGTGAGAATGAATATCCTTGTCTTGTTCCAGTTCTCAAGGGAAATGTTTTCAGCTTTCTCCTGTTCAGTATGATGTTGGCTGTGTGTTTGTCACAGATGACTCTTATTATTTTGAGGTATGTTTCTTTGATGCCTAGTTTGTTGAGGGTTTTTATTCATGAGGGATATTAAATTATATTTAAATATTTTTCTGCCTCTATTGAGAGGTTCATACACTTTGTGTTTTAATTCTGTTTATATGGTGAATCGTATTTATTGATTTACATATTGATATGTTTTGGCTATGTCCCCACCAAAATCTCATCTTGAATTGTAGCTTCTATGATTTCCACATGTCATTGGAGTGACCTGGTGGGAGGTAATTGAATCATGGGGCGGGTATTTCCCATGCTGTTCTTGTGACAGTGAATGAGTCTCATGAGATCTGATGCCTTTATAAAGGAGAGTTCCCCTGCAGGTGCCCTCTTGCCCGCTGCCATGTAAGATGTTCCTTTGCTTTTCCTTTGCCTTCCACCATGATTGCAAGGCCTCCCCAGCCATGTGGAACTGTAAGTTCATTAAAACTCTTTCCTTTATAAATTACCCAGTCTCGGGTATGTCTGTATTAGCAGCATAAGAACAGAGTAATACACATACATTGAACCAGTCTTGCATCCCAGGATAAAGCATACTTGATCATAGTGAATTAATTTTTGATGTGCTGCTGGATTTAGTTTGATAGTATTTTGTTGAGGATTTTTGTTTCTGTGATCATCAGGGATTTTGTCCTGAAGTTTTCTTTATTCATTGTGTCTCTGCCAGATTTTGGCATTAGGCTGATGCTAGCTTCATGGAATGAGTTAGGGAGGGGTCCCTCCTCCTTAATTTTTCAGAATAGTTTCAGTAGGATTGGTACCTGTTCTTTTTTATGCATCTTGTAGAATCTGGCTGTGACTCCATGTGGTCCAGGGCTTTTTGTAGTTGATAGGTTTTTTATTAGTGATTCAATTTCAAAGCTTAATGTTGGTCTTTACAGGTTTTAAATCTCTTCCTGATTCAATCTTAGAAGATTGTGTGTCTCCAGGAATTTATCCATTTCTTCTGGATTTTATTATTTGTGTGCATAGATTTGTTCATAGTATTCTCTGATAATCTTTTGTATTTCTGTGGGATCAGTTGAATGTCATCTTTGTCATTTCTGATTGTACTTATTTAGATCTTTTTCTTTTTTTTTCTTTGTTAATCTAGCCAGCGTTCTATCAATCTTTGTTTTTCTTTCTTTCTTTTTTGGTAGAATCTACTACTCTTGGATTTATTGATGTTTTGTATAGTTTTGCATCTCAGTTTCATTAAATTCTCCTCTAATATTAGGTATTTCTTTTCTTCTGCTAGTTCTAAGGTTGTTTTTTTTTTCTAGTTCCTTTTGGTGCAGAGTTAGATGATTAATATGAGACCTTTCTAACTTTTTGATGAGGTTGTTTTGGGTATAAGCTTTCCTCTTATTACTGCTTTTGTGACATCCCAAAGATTTTGGTGAATTGTGTCCATATTTTCATTAATTTGGAATATATTTTTTGATTTCTGCCTTAATTTCAATGTTCACCCAGTACTTATTCAAGAGAAAGTTGTTAAATTTACATGTACCTGTGTTGTCACCAGAAATCTTCTGGATATTGATTTCCAGTTTTTATTGTACTATGAGTTGAGAGTGTGCTTAGTATGATTTTCTTTTTTAAAATTTACTGAGACTTGTTTTATGACTGAATATGTTGTTGATCTTAGAATATGTTCCGTGTGCAGATTAGAAAAATGCATATTCTTTGATTGTTGGGTGGAGTGTTCTGCAGATGTCTGTTAGGTCCAATTGGTCAAGTGTCAAGTTAAGTCCAGTGGTTCTTTGTCAGTATTCTGCCTTGATGATCTGTGTACTGCTATCAGTGAACTGCTGAACATTTCCACTACTCTCCTGTGGTTATCTATGTCTTTTCCATAGGCCAATAAGTATCTATTTTATGAAACTAGGTATGGGTTTACCCCAATTTGGGGGGTGTAAATATTTAGAATAGGTGTTTCAGCATACAAAATCAATGCACAAAAATTAGTCACATTTCTATACAACAATATTGTCCAGACTAAGAGTTAAATCAAGAACACAATCCCATTTACAATAGTCAGAAAGAAAATGAAATACCTAGGAATACAGCTAACTAAGAGAGTGAAAGGTCTCTAAAAAGAAACCTACAAAACACTGATGAAATAAATCAGAGTTAACACAAATACATGGACAAATATTCCATGCACACGGTTTGGAAGGAGCAACATCATTAAAATGGCCATACTACCCAAAGCAATCTACAGATTCAATCGTATTTCTCTCAAATACCTACCTCATTTTAACAGAATTAGAAAAACTATTTTAAAATTTATATAGAACCCTAAAAAACTCTGAATAGCCAAGGAAATCCTAAGCAAAAACAACAAATCCAGACGCATCACATCACCCAACTTTAAACTATACTACAAGCCTACACTAACCAAAACAGCAAGATGCTAGTACAAAACCAGATACATACACCAAAGGAATGGTATAGAAAACTCATAAATAAAGCCACATACCTACAACCATCTGATTTTTTTTTTTTTTTTTTTTTTTGAGATTCAGTCATGCTCTGTCACAAGGCTGGAGTGCAGTGGTGCAATCTCAGCTCACTGCAACCTCCACCTCCCGGGTTCAAGCAATTCTCCTGCCTCAGCCTCCCAAGTAGCTGGGACTACAGGCGCATGCCATCACATGCAGCTAATTTTTCTATTTTTAGTAGGGACGAGATTTCACCATGTTGGCCAGGATGGTCTTGATCTTTTGACCTCGTGATTCACCCACCTCGGCCACCCAAAGTGCTGGGATTACAGGCATGAGCCACTGCGCCCAGCCCCATCTGATCTTTGACAAGGTCGACAAAAACAAGATACAGGGAAAGGACTCTGTAGTCCATAAATTGTGCTGTGATAACTGGCTAGTGGCAGGCAGAAGAATTAAACAGAACCCTTACTTTTCGCCATATATAAAAATTAACTCAAGATATAGATTTAAATGTGGGGCCTTAAACTCTAAAAATCCTAGAGAAAACCTAGGAAATACTCTCTTCTTGATATCAGCCTTGGCAAAGAATTTTTGGCTAAGTTCCCAAAAGCAATCGCAACAAAAACAAAAATTTAAAAAGTGAGACCCAATTAAACTAAAGAGCTTCTGCACAGCAAAATAAACTATCAAGAGACTAAACCAACAACCCATAGAATGGGAGAAAATATTCACAAACTATACATCTGACAAAGATCTAATATCCAGAATCTATAAGGAACTTAAATAATTCAACAAGCAAAAAACAAACAACCCCATTAAAAAGTGGACATGAATATCTAAAAGTCATGCCTACTTTTTAGTGGAGTTGTTTGTTTTTTGAGTGTTGAACTGTTCAAATTCAAACAAGATAATGTCTTTTGAAAGGTACTGATGGAGCTGGAGGCCATTATTTTTAGCAAGCTAACACAGGAATAGAAAATCAAACACTGCATGTTCTCACTTATAAGTGGTAGCTAATGAATAAGAATACATGTACACACAGAGGTGAACAAGACACACTGGGACCTTTCGAAGGGTGGAAGGTGGGAGGAGGTGAAGGAACAGAAAAAAATAACTATTGAGTATTAGGCTTAGTATGTGGGTGATGAAATAATCTATACAACAAACCCTGCAAAACAAGTTTACTATGTAACAAACCTTCACATGTAATCCCAAATCTAAAATAAAAGTTAAAAAAACAAGAAAAGAAACTGAATCCTCAATGTGATATATCACAAGGTGAGGCCTTTAAGAGGTGATTAGGTCATGAGGTCTCTGCCGTCATGAATAGATTGATCTATTTATGGATTAATGGGTTAATGAGTAAATGGGCTATGCTGAGAGTGAGATTGGTGGCTTTATGAGAAGAGGCAACGAGGGTTCAGCTAGCACACCCAGCCCCCTTGCCGTATGATTCCCTGTGTTACCTTGAGGCTCTCCAGAGAGTTCCCTCATCAAGACTTTTCAGCCTTCACAATTGTAAGAGATAAATTTGTGTTCTTTATAAATTACCCATTTTCAGATATTCTGTTATATACCCCCATAGGTATGTTTATACTAATATTTCTTGTTTTTGATTACCCTTCTGCTAAAATACCATAGAACTGAGTCTCGACACCACCATCTAAATTTTAGTTACACCCTATGCAATGTCTGATGGTCTGTAGGAGGGACCTCTGTGATAGGAACAAGTCTACCTGGATAGAGATGCAGACACCTGAGCATCAACTCCAGCTCTGTAACCTCTCCATCTTTGCATCTCTGAATCCAAATAGCTCTATGTATGAAAAGTGGAAGTTGGACTAGATGCTTTCAAACTGCCTTTCAGTTAGCTCTGAGATTTTACTGGTTTACTAGGCCCTGGGGAGAGTTTTACACCCAGCTGCCAAGAGGCACAAAGGAGCTGTGGAAGACTGTCAGGGTCATTAAACCCTCCTCAGTGGCTGATTTTTTCCCAAGAGAGCCATAGCCGCTGGGGCAGCCAGAGTGCACAGGGATAAGCTTCAGAGATAAAATTGGATCAAGGTGTCTGCAATATTCAGTAGGACAAAATTAGCCTTCTTTCTGACCTTCAAAATCATTCACCCCTATATTTGAAATCAGTAATAAAACTTCATTACAATTTAATCTTCAACATTGCCTTCTTAAGGATGCTAAATTACTTGATAGAGGGAATAAACTAGTTTATAAGATATCAAAATTTTCCAGCAAAGGCAAATGCCCACATTTGAGAGTTCAACAGAGAACCATTCCTACATATGAGGGAATAAGCAGAAAAGCACCCAAATTTACCATGATATTCTATGATTTGTGAGATATGCTACCAATGTGACATAGTCCTGGAAATTACCTTTGTGTTTTTTGATTAAAGCCTCCTATCTAGTACGTGAAGAACCATCCCTTGACAGATGTTTGGTGGTGGAAACCGCAGTTGAGTAAGGAACACAGGCAAAGTCCAACACAGTGAAAATGAACCATAGGCCAAAATAGCCAGGTGGTATAAAGTTAGTTTAGTAGGCAGGGCACGTGGCTCACACCTGTAATCCCAGCACTTTGGGAGGCCAAGGCGGGTGGATCACGAAGTCAGGAGATCGAGAACATCCTGGCTAACACGGTGAAACCCTGTCTCTACTAAATATACAAAAAATTAGCCGGGCATGGTGGCAGTCACCTGTAGTCCCAGCTACTTGGGAGGCTGAGGCAGGAGAATGGCATGAACCTGGGAGGTGGAGCTTGCAGTGAGCCGAGATCGCGCCACTGACTCCAGCCTGGGTGACAGAGCGAGACTCCATTTCAAACAAACAAACAAACAAACAAAAATAAAGTTAGTTAGTAAAAATGTTAATGTTTAAGAATATACCCTTACCCCAGGACATACTTATATACATATACACATTCACATGTACAGATAAAAAATTAACATTTATAATACTGTCTCAATTCTGACCTTCTTGAAGATTTCATATTTCATCTCTACTTATTCTGTATTGAAACTTTCATTGAGTGGTATGCTGGGGTAATTTCACTGGCTCATGAAAGCCAATAGTTATATTTTTATTAATTAACAAAAGAGACCTAATTAAACTAAATAACTGTTGCAAAGCAAAATAAACTGTCATCACAACAAACAGACAACCTACACAATATGAGAAAACATTTGCAAACTATGCATCTGACAAAGGTCTAATATCCAGAATCTATAATGAACTTGAATAAATGATCAAGCAAAAAACAAATAAGCCCATTAAAAAGTGGACATAGGACATGAACAGAAACTTCTTAATAGGAGACGTATCTGTGGCCGACAAGCATATGAAAAGATGCTCAGTATCCCTAATCATTGGGGAAATGCAAATCAAAATCACAATGAGATATCATCTCACACCAGTCAGAATGGCTATTGTAAAAAACAAAAAGATGCTGGAGAGGTTGCAGAGAAAAGGAAACACCCTGTGCAATGTGTGTCTCACTGCTGGTGGGAATGTAAATTAGTTCAGCCACTGTGGAAAGCAGTTTGAAGATTTCTCAAAGAACTTAAAGCAGATCCATTTGACGCAGCAGTCCCATTACTGGATATATACCCAAAGATATATAAATTGTTCTACCATAAAAACATATGCAGACGTACGTTTATCACATATGCATGCATACATTTATCACAACACTCTTCACAATAGCAAAGACATAGAACCAATGTAGGTGCACATCGGTGGTGGACTGGCTAAAGAAAATGGGGTGCATATATACTATGGAATACTACATAGCCATTAAAAAAAAAAAACAAGATCACGTCCTTTGCAGCAACATGGATGGAGCTGGAGGCCATTATCCTAACCACATTAACATAGGAACAGCAAACCAAACACCACATATTGTCAAGTATAGGTGGAAACTAAACACTAAGTAAGTGTGGACACAAAGAAGGGACATGAAGAAGAGACCAGGGCCTCCTTGAGCTTAGAAGATGGGAGGAGGGTGAGGATTGAAAAATTACCTATTGTGTATTATGCTGATTACTTGGGTGACAAAATGATCTGTACACCAACTACCCACAACACACAATTTGCCTATATAACAAACCTGCACATGTACATCCTTGAACATAAAACTTGGAAAGAAAAAACATAAATAAATAAATAAATTTTCATTAATTTTGCAAACTGTTGATTAAACACAGACATTATTAAAAGTTAAATTATAAAAATTCAAATAATTATAATTATGTAATAAATTATATATAGTTATATAATATATTATGTTATATTATAATTTATATAATTACAATGATATAAATATAATTAATATATATAATTGTATATTATATATTTATATATAAATATATTTATATCATTGTAATTATAATTATATAAATGTTAATAAATTACATTAAAAATCAAGATAAATAACAAAAGTCACTTCATAAATATTGTTTCATATTTTAATATTATATATATTATTGAGAGTATGGTGGAAATATGACACCAACTCCATATTCAGTGACGTCACATGGGTAGCTTGAAGCAGGCCATCATAACAGTATTTCCACCACAGAAATGAGAAAATGCTGCAAATCGAGTTTGATTTATGGTTTTGTTGATTGTCCAAACTTAAGAAAGTGCTGGAGAAAATATAAATAATACACATTAAACTTAGAAGTATGTCATGTTTGTAACCATTACATCGTGAAAAACACAACATATTGGGAAAGTATTCACCTAGTATTACACAACTCTTACCAATTCAACAAAGATGTTGTTCACATGACCTACTGACGAATAAGTGAAGTTCTAACATATATCTTTGCTGTTTCACTTTGATTTTGCTTGTTATTATAAATGAAAAAACATTAACTGACATTTATATTGGAACTACATTATTTTGCCAATGATGTGAGTGACTTTGCTTAAGTGGATACTAAACAAACATTTATTCATGGGTTTATTTTTGTATCACTTCTGTTGGAAATAGAATTATAAAAACTTGTGGTAGATTTTGCAAGAAATAGCAGGTCCTGCTGAAGTTACAGGTGTGTAGAATTTACAATAAATGCCGTTGTATATTTGACATTATTTGTAAATTGTATCATTATTTGTAAAGCACACAAATGCTTTTATAAATTTTACAGATATTAAGAGAGACAAAATGCTAAGAACACACACACACACACACACACACACACATATATAAATATAATCACTTTTTAAAAGAAAGCTAGTTGATAAACGCTTACCAGGACACCACTGCTGTCCTTTCATTCCTAAAATTCTGTCTTCTCCAGCTTTTCCATTCCATCACTTTAACTCAACACAAGTTATTTCCACCATTTGATTAATTTGCTTTCACTCCTCCAAATTCAGTCATGCACCCACTATTTTCTCTGTCTTCCTGCCTTTCTTTTATCTCAATACCAAGTACAGTTCTGTAATTATGTACTCATAGTCTTTCACCTGAATAACTGCAATAGCCTCCTACCTGAGCTTCTATCTCTGGTCTTATCACCTTGTAACACATTCTGCAACTCGCAGTTTCAGTAACTTTTTTGAGTCACAAATGTTGTCATACATTTCTTTTGTTTAAATATTCTAAAGATCCCCTTTTGAGGTTACGCACAGATTCTCAACATAGCATCCTTATATCCAGGTGCAGTACTAGATACACCTTGAATCAACTGTTAGCCCTTGAGCTGCTGTGGTCATTTCAGAAAAATGATTTAGAGAAGGGTGAGGCTGGAGTATTATTGTTACTATGCATCATATCTGCTGCTTATTTTAAAAGAAATATCAACATCTTTCTGTATCCAGTTACACTTATTCCTAAAATCAAAATTACCAAGACTAACTGCCTGCTTTTTGGAATTTATCGAATACTAGTAGTGCATTTCTGTGCTACCTTAGCCTCTTTCTTTTGTGAGCAATACCAAGCAGGTGATGAATTCAGAAGTTGAAGTAGAACTTTTATCTAACGTGCCCCAGATTTTATCCTTCTCATCTCCCCTAGACTAATTTCTAAATGAATTATACATTAATGTCAGGATCTTTGTTCCTTCTGGGTTGGGACTCTGGATGGTGTGGAGGTCAGTAGTTGGTTAATCTCCCACATGTTGATCAGTGTGATTCAGGGTGAATAGAGAAGATGGCTCACTTTAGTGAGGGGGAGGCAGAGCGTGGCCTTGTGAAAACAGAAGCCTCTAAAGGATAGTTAAGAGAAACGCATCCTCAGACTCTGCTTTAAATACATCATGGGCATAAGTCAAGTAACGTCTTTGTGGCCTCAGTTTGCGCATGTAGAACATTCATATATTTTGAATATTTGCATATATCATTTATCACCTCTAATAATTACTCTTAGTCCAGTAACAGTAATGGGAACAACAGCAATGCTAACAGAGGCTAAGACTTATTGAAAAGGTCAACTGCCTAGTCATTTTTCTAAGTATTTTGTAAATTATGCCACGCAAACCTCAAAACCATCACTATAATTACATAAATAACTGCTACTTAAAATTTTTATTTTCCAGAGGACCTTGCTAAGAGCCAGGGAGGTTAAACACATTGACTGTATGAGCAGAGCTAATACCATGTGGTTTGAATCAATTTCAGTGGGCTCAATTGAAACCACAGGTCCTCTACTCAAAATACACATACAAACTCATAGACATTTACATCTAGTAATTCTTATTTTTTAAGACTCTGCTTAGACATTACTTCAAGCAAAAGGTTCCACATTTTTGATCATATATGATATAAAAGATAGTTGGGCAAAGTTAAATGCATATATTCCCTGGTAAGTCTCCCCTAGTCCTTTAAGACAGAAAAACATGTCCCTTCTACATGCCTTCACTGCACCTTGTGCTTTCTGTTGTCATAGAAGGTATCTAATGCATGTTTTTGTAATTGTGAGTTTACTTGGCAGTGTTTCCTATTCACTGTAACCCTAGCACCTAACCTCCTGCCTTGTTCTTTGTACAGGCTCAATAAACATGTGTTAGTGATCACAAGTCCAAGGTAAAACAAGTGATGTTATCACTGTTTTCCCCAGAGCCTGAAACCTAGATCACCTTGGGTTAACGCAATCTTTCTTCATGGGGACATTGCTTTACCTGCAAATGTGTTACCTTGCTGGGCTTTTATGGAAAGTCATTAGAAACTGTTAACACCTTAGCAAACTGTGTCACAGAGCAGATACTTAAAGATCTAATCTTAAGGGGCCCTCAGGAAATGTTAGACAAAATTAGGGTGAGAAAATAGTTTAAAAGAAACTGAAATTGAGGGAAAAAGCATTTTTACTCTGACTCTAGAAGCATTTCTTTTGTTGTCTATTCACAATGATATGATAGACAGATATTGCTCTAGACACTGAAGATAAAAAGACAGAGTCACTGTCATTGAGGAGTTCATAGACCAGTGAGAGAGAGATGGGCAAAGAGAGCAATGATTGTAATGCAATATAATACATGTTCCATGAACAGCTATTATGGGAACAGAGAGGTGAGAATACTTTAGGTTGGTAATGATGTAAGGAAAGGATGTACAAATTGGAGAAGCTTGCTAGCTTGGGGAAGAATAAAGGACATTCCTGACACCAGAAAGCTTATGTTCATGACTACTGAAAGCATTTAATGTGGTAATGCATGTGAATGAAGTGACAAATTGCAAGGCTGAAAAGTGATAGCATCTCAGGCAGGTGCACTCATTTGTACTCATCACGTACTCACTGTTAAACGGGAATACCACCCTTGCCCAGGTTATTATGGTATTGAATGAAGTGACAGATAGATAGCATTTCGTAAACAGTGTGACGCAAAGGTACAGTAGAGTGGGTTTTAGCAGGAGGAGGAGGGGGAGTTCACAGGAAAATTTCAAATTCCTTACCTGTTCCACAGGCCCTACAGGATCTTGTATCAGCCCCACTCAGGACACTGATGCTTCCAGGCCTTGTTTTCCTTCTTGTTGCATCAAGAGTATTTCCTTTTTGATTCATTACAATTGTTGTTGTTGTTTTGTCCTGATTCATTCTCTTTTGCTTCAACCTCCAGATCTTCCCATGTTATATTCCTTTCTTTAGTCATGTTTTCACTGACATATCATCTCTTCAGATGAACTTCATTGGTCATTCTAGTCAAAAGTGTAAAGAGTCAGTCAAACCCATCATCCTGTTCCATTTTTGTCACCATCTAAGCTTACACTGTCAGCTACGGTATCAACTGGTGGCCTCTCCTCTATAATAGAAGTTCCAAGAAAACAGAGGCCTCGTTTTCCTTATTCAATGCTATATTCTAAGCATCTAATGCAACATTTGAATCTCAATAATTCATTGAATGAATCAATGAATGGATAAGTAAAAGTAGTTATATAACCTTTGTGTTTGTTTGGAGGTTCAATTTAGTGAACAGGATGCTAAAGAAAGTCCTCCCAACTGTCTGTAGATAAAGATATAATGCCTTGTTGTGCGGGTTAAGAATTCTAAATGTCTCTACATAAACATGAGGCTATTTTAGATTTGGACTGACAAGTGCTTTAAGATTAGAAGACATTTATTCAATTATTTTAGGCAGCAAAAACAAAACACCAGCACTGGAAATAATTGCCTCAGCTAAATATTTTTATCTGTTCCACATCCCACCACCAGAAACATAATTATTCTTTCATTATATTTTCCTTTTCTTTTCAAGAAAAGAAATTTTATTTACAGGGTTCTTTCTAATAGGAGAAACCAATCTTACAGCTAGAGTCCCTTTTTTCTCCAGAAATCATTTTGGAGACGTCACTGTGGGCAGATTATTTTTGCTCTCAGCAAACACTCTTTCTATGATCTATTAATGTATTTATCTTTGTCAGGATGCAGAGACCTAATAACCAATTCTCCAAGCCTCTTGCAATGTAGCATCTAATTTGCCTTCCCTTGAATTGTTGGTCCTGCTGTTGTTTGCTCAGTCCCTGGTATAGTACTCCCTTCTTCTCTCAAAAGTCAGAACAAATTCATTCCAAAGGATTATTTTCAAGTTATATTACTCTTCCTAACTCATATCCTCATTTATTTCTGATGACATCGTGCTCAGAGTTCCATCTCTTCATGTACTGCTTCAGTAACTGACATGGACAGTAGACAACCACAGGACCCATCAGTGGGCTTCAAGGGAGCATCAGTGCCTGACGAATGGGGAGCAGCACCAGCATCCTCAAAATTCAAAGGAAGCCATGAGGGTACATGGGCAGATCTGATGATAAAACAAAGAGAAAACTTTATAAAATACACAAATACTTAATACATAGTGACTGTGTTAATAATGATATTTACTGCTTTTATAGCTGTTTAGAGTTATACAATACAAGTTTCTCTATTACCAAAAAAGCACCATCTTGACTCAAGGACATAGTACGGTCAGCCTTCACACATCCGCAGAAAAGAAAGTCTACTGAGATTCTGAAACAGGAGAGTTCCCTGGCACCCCTTCACAGGACATGAGACGGGTGTGGCTCGTCTGTTGGTGGCTGCATGCTCAAACCCCTTATAGGACAGGTAGCATGCAGATGGGCAGGTGCAGGAGCCGGAGTGAACACTTTTGGTCTCCAGCCTCATGGTGGCATCTAGGAGTGTGTTACAATTAATGTCCTTTTAGCAGTTGCTGTCCGCAGATGGCTAAGTGTTGATCAGCTCAGTGGACTTTTACACCTTGTCCTCTTGGTACCCAGGTCCTTGCCCAGTGTCCAGGAAGAATCAGGTCACATATGGACTTGAAGGGTGAATGTAGGAGTTTTATTGAGTGGTGGAGGTGGCTCTCAGCAGGATGGATGAGGAGCTGGAAAGGGGATGGAGTGGGAAGATAATCTTCCCCTGGAGTTTGGTCATCTCATGGCCAATCTTTTCTTTGACCATCCCCAGACAAACACCACCTGATGTTCAGATGCTCCTTCTCTTACCTTCTTCTTTGCCATGCTGTTCTTCTGCTCTTCTGCTCTTCTGTTCACCTGTTCATGGAGCCTGGAGTTTGGGGTTTATATGGGTACGGGATGGCAGGGGGGCATGGCAAGCAAAGGCAACATTTGGGCATGAAAACAGGAATGCCTGTTCCCATTTAGGCCCACGGGTTTCCAGACTTGAGCGTGGTGCTTTTGCTGGGGAGCTGCTCTCATCTATTCAGTATTTCCCTGCCTCCTGTTTGTATCAATTCCTCTCCAGTTTGACAGATAGGAACACTACCCAGAGTGTTTTGTCTTTCCTTTTGTACCTTATTTAATTCCTGAAACAACCTTGTACAGCTATTATAACCTCCATTTTATACATTAAAACACAGAACAAAAGTAAATTTCAGGAAGAAAATGAGACCGGCTTAAGTTTGAATAGCCAGGCAACACCCGGGCAGTAATTCAAAGTGATTGTTTTCACCAGAGCCCCCTGATATTATTTCCTCAGTTTATCTCATTTGGCCCTAATCATGTGTGATACCACCTTAGAAGAGCATCTCTTCTAAAAGGACCAGTAAATCCCTTCATACAATAAAGAAAATATCTGCAACCTGACACTTCAAGAAAGGGAGAGCATGCATCAAAGACTTGGACATAGGTGCATTTGCTGCCTTCGGGGAGAGCTGAGTCTATTGAAGGGGGCAGACCTTATTCAAATAATCACTTACATAGGTAACTAGAGTTCAGTTTCTCATATGGAGATGTGTCATTGCTAAACACAATAGTTAATAATAATTTATTGTATACTGCACTTAAATTTTACAAAAATGAAAGATCTCAAGTGTTCTTACAACACACACACAAACAGTAACTGTGTGAGGTGATGGATATATTAATTAGCCGACTGTGGCAGTCCTTTCACGGTGTCCACATATATTAAAACATCACATTGTACACCCTAAATATATGTAATTTTTATTTTTCAATTATATCCCAATAAAGCTGGAAAAAATAAATGAAATTAATGTTTGTAAAAAATGAGAGAGAGCATTAGGAGAAATACCTAATGTAAATGACGAGTTGATGGGTGCAGCAAACCAACATGGCACATGTATATCTATGTATCAAACCTGCACATTGTGAACATGCACCCTAGAACTTAAAGTATAATAATAATTAAAAATAAATAAATAAAATTAGAGAGAGCTCATGCCTGTAATCCCATCACTTTGGGAAGCTAAGGTGGGCAGATCACAAGATCAGGAGTTTGAGACCAGCCCGCCCGACATAGTGAAGCCCCATCTCTACTAAAAATACAAAAAAAAAAAAAAAGAGAGATCTGGGCGTGGTGGTGGGCACCTGTAACCCCAGCTACTTGGGAGGCTGAGGCAGGAGAATTGCTTGATCCTGGGAGACAGTGGTTGCAGTGAGACGAGATGGAGCCACTGCACTCCGGCCTAGGCGACAGTGTAAGACTCCGTCTCAAAATAAAAAAAAAATTGAGAGAGATTTATTTTAAAAAGGTGTTTTTATTTAGTTTTCAAAATGGTTGAGTGGTTGGGGAATGCTAACAAAGGTCCAGAAAAGACCACCTAAGCATATGAATTTAAGCTGAGGTCGGGAAAGTAAATAGAAGCTAGTCAAGGAAAGGGAAGAGTCTTCCAGCAGGAAAAATATACTCTGAACAGAGGCTCTGAGGTCTGGGGGTCATCTACACCAGGCACAATAGCACTGTGCCTACAGCCCACAATGCTTTGAGGGGCCCACGAAAATGTCTTAATGTCTTTAAACATCAGAAGAATAAAATGAATGGAACCCAGCCTGAAGAATATTCATCTTCATACCAAGGCAATTATAAAGTATATTTTTTTTAGTTTTTTCTGGGATAAAGGACCCATGGAGGCAAAAGTGTTTCAGGCCCATGACAGTCATGATGTGGCCCAAAGTGGGAAAAAACAGAAAGCTAGTAAGCATTGGGGAGACAAGGGGATGCTGGCATTGCTGGAGCACAGTGTCGTTTTCTTCTTGCCATCCCATTGTAGATAGCCCTGGAAAAACAAAAAAAACTAAGAATAAACAGCTCTTCCTTTCCTTCTCTTCTGGGGGTGGAGTTCTCAAAACACCATGTTAATTACTACCCACTCTCCTGCCTCCAAACCTGCCTGTGCCCACCCAAATCCTGTCATATCTATTGAAACTGTAATTGAGACAGCACAAAAAGAACAATGCCAGAAGATAATAAGGGCTTGATACGAGAATGAATGAGTGAAAACAAAATTGTCCATGTTAAGTGTGTGGAGCTGGCAATAAGCCGTAACATAGTTCAGAGGAAAAAGGCATTTCTTTGTGATTGACTTCAGCAAGCATTGCTTTAGCAACTACTTGTTGCAGTGGGACTAGAACTGTAAGGGGACTGAATCCCTGTTCTCAAGGAGGGCCCAATGTTTGAGATTAGATGTGTGAGTGATTTACTATAATTCAGTGTGGACAGTTCTAATTATGCAATATAATCAGTCAGGAAAGCAATATTCTTTTCCTGATCTGGGTATAAATGATGAATGGAATGTGGAAATGATAAAATGAAAGGGAGATGGATTTTTCACTCAGAGGAAATGATATGATCTATAATGAAGTGATAAAAAAATACAATGCATCTAGAAATAGAGAAGACACTAGGGATTGTAGAATAGACAGGAAAATTGGTCTGGAGACAGTTCCCCAAAGTTCACGAATTCTTTCTTAATCAAATAACTTCATATGTAGAAAATTGGGTATTTAAACAAATTAAATAGGCAAATATTAACAGAGCTCACCATTATTATTAGTTCTGTCTTAACACTACCACATTTATATAGCGCTTTCCATTTTATGTCCAATTATAGAAAAACACCAATTGGAAGTAGTAATATGAGAGTTTTGGGGGCAATAAGTGTAGCTCTTAAAGCTACTTCAGAGAAGGGCAAAAGAAAGAAAAATAATAAAAAAATGAACACTGGGAACAATTCCTTATATATCAAAGTGCCACTTTGTGATAAAACATATTATACTATGATAAATATATTTTAGTTTAATATAGGGAAAGGGAGCAGCCACAGTCATTTTGAAAGAATTTCTTTCAAAACAAATTTTTTTTTAATAGAAATGAAAAGACAAGCTTCATTTGTTCAAGAAATTTACCTAGCTTGAACCCCATTTTCTCAAAATTTGATGTAAACAGTATACTATTTTTCCCTTTACCATGATTTCTTATGAATCAATTTTAAAAGAAAGGATATCATGATTCTACTATTCTTCTTCCTACCTGAAGGCTTTGCTAAAGTGCCTGTAATTTGTACATCAGTCTCAGCACTGTATGCTTTATTTGAGAAAATGTATAACTGTATGAGCTTCAGCTTCAGGACATTTTGTATGTAATCATTAAAGCACAAAATTGTTGCCTGGAACCAAGGATGATTATTTTTCTATTTGTTCGGATTCTGGCACACAAAATGATCTATCTTGATTCTCTGTCCTGGCATTATTTTGCTTGCAAATCAGGATGCAGTATAAAACTTTCCATAGATACAAACAAAGCCAAAGAATTTAAGATAGTTTTGTTGAGGGAATGCTTCACTCTCCTTTTATATCTATCACAGCATCAATGAAATGTCTGGCACACAGCCCAGGTCTGGTCCCACCCAATTCAGTTCAGCAACATTAAGCAAGTAACTCATTCACAAAATACTGTTACTGACATATTATGATCTCTCGACCTTTGGGAGACATAAACATGAACAGTTTTATGTTTCCCATAACTACCTCTATGTGTACTTCTCCTTCCTAGATAGTTCAGAGGGGGATCTATTAACAATATCTTAGCTTCTTTTTATAATTGTTAGTTGTTTTGTTTGTTGAAGAGTCTCATTCTGTTTTTTTTTTGTTTGCTTGTTTTAACTTGTTATTATTATTTCAAAGTTTCAGATTCACATGCAATACAAATCCCTCCTCCTTCCTCTGCTTGAAGGCATGCCATGAGGGTGTTTGAGGATGACTCTCAGAGAATGCTCCCCTTCATTTTTCCCTGTTCTTGTCATTCTAATTTTGGAGCAGAAACAAGGACCAGGGGTACCAAGACGTCTGCTGGCTTCTTGGTTGGTACTTGGGTTTCAGTTCTCTTTCTGTTGGTGTCTCTTCTCTTCTCTTCTTTTATTGGTGCTGTGTTGATTCCCTGTGAAGAGCAGGGCTTTTTTAGGTGAAAAATGCAAATCAGTTCCATGTCAGGAGAGATGGAGCCTGGTTCTGGAATTCCCCAGTTTGTGGCCTCTTGCCCCTCTCTCATGAGATAGGATTTGGTGTCTTCCTCTCTTGTCAGTCCCCTTCTTACGTTGATTGGGAAGGGGTGTGATAGTAGAGGCAGGATCAATTCTGTTGAAGAAGCACCTCTCAGCCCCACATAGACAAGGTGCCACAAATGGTTTCCTGTTTTCTGAATTTAGAATGCAGGACAGTTAGAATCAATTTTTTTTTTCACCTTTGGAATCAGACAAAATTTCAGGATGAAAACAATGACTTTTTTTTACTTCCCCTGTAATATCCCCCCATACAACTGCTATATTCTAAAGCACCATGTTCTATACTCACAAGAAAGTCACTGTGGAGAGACAGACTATGATAATTCAAGATTCACAGAGGTGTGCTAAAGTGCTAGATCACACCAGAGACAAGGGTTTAGCTCAGTTTTTATTTTCAGGTGTAAAGTTCTGAAGGAATGACATGTGAAGGACATTGAGATGTTAGCTTAGCAGGAAAGGACAAAATATATATACGCAGGAGAGCACAGGTTTTGAATACAAAAACTCTGCTATGAGGGGGAAATGATGATCTAAAAATAACAGCAACTTAGATATTTGAAACTAAAATATGAAATTGATCAAAAGACCAGAGGTAGTTAAGGCAGGGAAAGCAAAATATGTCAAATAATAAAAGTTTTCTAATGTTTAGCTGAAGAGTTTGGATTTCAGATGGTAAGAATTTAATGAAGAATTTTAATCCAAATACATATATTCAGTTTACCAGAAGAAATACTAGGGGGTGCCTAAAATTCCGACAATCACAAATACCAACTCTTACTAAAACATTTTTCATGTAAATTCTCATCATTTATTTCACATATATAACTTACGTTCATCGTTATCAATTGCACATGTAGACAGTGTTAGTCTACTTTCAATGAGAAAGTTGAGGCTCAGAGAGTTTGTTTTCCCCAAATTTATTGTGGCATAGTTGACAAGTAAAATGATATATATTTAAGGTGAACAACTTGATATTTGAAATACATATACATTGTGAAATATTCATCATACTGGATAATTAACATATCCATCACCTCCCGTATTTCCTAGTTTTCATTTCCTTTCTCCCTCTTCCCTCTTTTCTTTCTTCCTCCTCCTCCCCTTCCCTATCCTTCCCTTCCTTTCCATTCCTTTTACTTTCTTCTCTTTTCCTTTTCTTTCATTCTCTCTTTTCCTTCCTTCCTTTCTTCCTTTTTTTGTGGTGAGAACACTTAAGATCTACCCTCTTAGCAAATTTGAAGAATATGATACAATATTATTAAGAGTAGTCATTGTTGTACATCAGAACTCCACAAATTATTCATCCTCCATAACCAAAATTTTGTACCTCTTGATCAATATCTCTCCATTTCTAGAGAGGTTAAGCAGAATTTTGTGGGATTGTAAAACTAACCAGTGTCAGAAATGGGATGATAGTTAATGTCTCTACTGAATCAAGACTGGTGTTTATACCATACTTACATGTGTGACTTAAAACACTAATGTACAACTACAAAACTCATGCTTTCTTTATGGACTCTTCCTACAATTTTCCTGGATTTGGTTTTACAGGAGAAAAAAGACACATTAAGAGACAAATTTCAACCCAAAGAAATTTAAAAATACATGTCACAAAAGGAACCTTCATTGATAATTCTGCACCCTTCATCTGTCAAGCATTGTGGGTGCCCTGCCCAAATCCTCTTGAGATGCACCATGGCAGTGCTAACTAGCAGATTTCCAACTAATGGCAGCTACATCCTTTTGCCAGAGAACTTTCTCTGCTGGTAGAATTCCACTCAGTTCATGCTCCTGGCAAGATATAAATGTGTGAGTAAATTCTTCTCTTCCCCATAGGTATCAACTAATGACTGGCTGATGTTGATCTATAAACACACCTCATCCATTGGGTGGTGAATGGGATAACTCTGAGCTGCATGTTCTATACTGACTCCCAGAATTTCCCAGCAAGATTGGTGTCTAGGTGTCCACAGCAGAAACTTGCTCAGTAACATACTTCTAACAAATTGCCTTTCCTTTCCCACCTCCTTCTCTATTCCCCTACTGGTGTTTCTTAGGATCTCATCCAAATGAATCATTTGAACTGATATTCTTGTTTATAACTTGTTTCTAAAAAAACAAAAACTAAGATACCACAGGATCCAATTCCAGAAAATATTAGCACTATTAGGAGACTGTATTAGGACAGTAATAGAATATCTCCTGATCTCAATTATGCAAAATGAAGTAGATAGAGGAAAAATGAAGTTGATAGAGGAAAAATTTCAGCCAAATTAAATGTAGAAGAGTTTAATTGAGCAATTAACTATTCATGTATTGGACAGCCTCCTGAGCCAGAGTAGGCTGAGAGACTTTAGTGCAGCCATGTTGTTAAAGACTTATGATTAGAAAAAGGAATGCAACATACAGAAAATGGAAGTGAGGTTGGTTACAGCTTGCCATTTGCCTTATTTGAATATGGTTCAAACAGTTGGCTGCATTTGATCGGCCAAAACTTGGAGACTGACCCAAGTGTCGGCTATGCTCTGTTTAGACTTCCACTTGTTAGAGTTCATGATGTACAGAGAAACCTTTAGGCTGAACTTAAAATATGGAAGGAGGCAGCTTTAGGCTAAACTTGATTTGAGAAAGTCCTGAGTTTGTCGTTTATTTGTTTATTTTATTTTATTTATTTATTTATTTTTAGACGGTGTCTCAGTCTGTCGCCCAGGCTGGAGTGCAGTGGTGTGATCTTGGCTCACTGCAAGCTCCGCCTCCTGGGTTCATGCCATTCTCCTGCCTCGGCCTCCAGAGTAGCTGGGACTGCAGGCACCTGCCACCACTCTTGGCGAATTTTTTGTATTTTTAGCAGAGACAGGGTTTCACTGTGTTAGCCAGGATGGTCTCGATCTCCTGAGCTCGGGATCCACTCGCCTCAGCCTCCCAAAGTGCTGGGGTTGCAGGCGTGAGCCACCGCGCCTGGCCCTGTCATTTATTTTCTATAAACTCTACAGCATGTTCTGGGTTAGAATTCTATCCCATAGACTTTATAATCCTTATTTCTTCCATACGGTTGTATTTCAACTGTGGTCTAGTTTAAAATTGGTATTTCATTCCTGGTAGTAGAGGTGATAATTTGAGTTACTGTCTTACTCATGGATACCAATATCCCATTATCTATTGGCATGAGTTTATTATTTCATATTTTACCAAGTCAAATAACCTATCACTGATTCTTAAATGTATGTTTCATAGAATAAATTTCTGCACTTAACACTATGAGTCAAGATATATTGGGAAAGAGAAAACACTTGAAGTATTTCAAAAAGGAAAGAATTTAAATCAAGAGAAATAGAGTTTTATACTAAAATTAAGAGCTACACTAGTGAACATTGGAGAAGCTGCTTTACAGAGATTAGGAGGTCATAAATCACAGAAACTATATGACACCTCTGCCAATTACCTCAGGTGCATGGCATCCTAAAGAAATGATTTGTAGTAAGTTTCATGAAAACTACTTTCACAATCTCATATCTTTTATCTGCCAAAAGCCATGTGTCTGCCCTCTCCTGCCAGGGCAATGATGGTGTCTGCTCTTTTATGCTTTCCAAAGCTGTAGTGAGTGCCTTCCAGTGGTGAAATGTAAACTGCAATCTTACTGATAAATAAGCCAAAGCAAGGTGGTCTCAGGCTTCTACCTCTGACCCAAACAAGGGAGGCAGAGAATGGGGCAGGAATAATAAAGGATGCTTACAGACTATCCATGACAACAAAATTACGGTATAAAATGATAACATCCAAGCTGGGTGCAGTGACTCACACCTGTAATCCCAGCACTTTGGGTGGCCGAGGCTGGTGAATCACAAGGTCAGGAGTTAGAGACCAGCCTGGCCAACACAGTGAAACTCCATCTCTACTAAAAATACAAAAATTAGCCGGGTGTGGTGGCACACACCTGTAGTCCCAGCTACTCAGGAGGCTGAGGGGGGGGAATCACTTGAACGCAGGAGGTAGAGGTTTCAGTGAGCCAAGACCACACGATTGCACTCCAGCCTGGGTGAGAGAGTGAGACTCTGTCTCAAAAAAAAAAAAAAATCCATAAGGTTAAAATACATAAAATTGAATTAAATAACACAACTATATTAATATAAGTCTGGAGGGATAAAAATTGAAAAAAAAGTGTTCTGAAGTTTGTGTGGTCTAGGTAGGATGTAATTGTCTTAAATTAGCTATGGGCTTTGTAATTTCTTAGGTAACATTAAAATGTCCAAAATCGAGCAAGTAACTTAAACACTAGTAGAGGGAAAAGTAGAATTATAAAGAAACAGTAAATGGAAATGAGAGAAGAATGAATCATGGAATGGAAGGGACAAATGAAAAATACAAAAGAAGGTGCAAAATTGAGGTCAAAATACGTAACTAATTATATTGGATCTGAGAGGATTGAGACTTCATTCAAAAATATGGATATTTTTAAGCTAGATAACAGAAGAACAACAACTGGAGAAACAAAATCCAATTAAATGGTTTTAGAAAAAACATCTAAAATACAAAGATGCAAAGAGATTGAAAGTAAAATTATAGAAAAATAGATTTCATGCAAGTACTGCTAAATACAATGAAAACAATTATTTTGATTATTTTATTGAAGCTCAATAGCTCCGATTTGCTTCTTTATTCAAAAAAAGAAGTGTAGGCAAAATACTCTTGGACAGCTGATGGTATATGTTTTTCTGTTCCTCTGCTTCCCAGAAGGTCACATTTGCATAATTTTTTGGATTGTCTGTTCATCTAATAAAGGGCAATTTCAGGGCAGGTGGATTTCCATATACTTGATATGGAGGACCTGAGAACATCTTAGAAAAATACTATCTAGGCAGATTTATGTGGCCACTACAAAATTGCAGCAATATTTATTACTTGCTTTATAATGGGCGCATCATAGGACTGGTAATTCTTGGAGCCAGTGTTATATGATTACTTAAGTAGCTGATTTTTCATACCATGAAGCAGAGAGGCAAACAGCATAAGAGAAATTAAATATATTTAGAAGTTCTTCGAATTAATTAGAAAGTAGAGAAAGCCATTGGCTAATAATGTGTCCTCTATGGCTTTGTTTCTATTAATGAATGTCAGATTAAGCCCAGAATATAAGTCATGTATGCAGAGAGATGGGCGGCCTTTTGTTTTCTCTTTGTCTTGACATTAGAACTACAATTAATCTAATCTCTTGGTCAGGATATTTAATAGTATGCTATAAAGAATAATTATAAGGGCTGGATGCATTCAGCAAATATTTATTGAATTGCCACTTGTAGGCGTTGTGCTAGGCACTGAGGATGGATAGAAGATCAAATCACAGCTCTAGAGCTCTAATTGCTCTGGCAGACATCTGCATGACTTGGTTCTTTGCTTTAGACAGAGTTCTTTAGACAGCTCAAGTGTCACTATATCAGAGAGGTCTTTTCCTGACCACCTGTATAACAGAGCAACCCTCTCCCTCCCCCTCCTCTATACTCTCAGTTCTGCTTACCTTGCTCCATTTCCCCTGGGCACTTACCAACTTCCAACATATAAAATGTATCCATTTATTGACTATGTTATTGTATGAAAATATAAACTCCATGAAAGCAAGAACTTTGTCTGATATCACAATTGTTTCTCTTGTGCCTCAATTATTCTCAAAAAACAGTGGGTGGGCACAAACATATATTAGATATTTGAGTCACTAAATGAACCAGTTATTTAAAAACATAACCACACCCCTCTCCCTCCCCTGGCTGTGCTTTTAGAACATCCTCACTCTACCCAGTTCAGTGCCAAGTATGTGGGCTTAAGCTTTGTGTGTTTTCCTTGGAATGCTCTAAAACTCAGCAGTGACTAAGGAAATCCCATCAGAATTTGTTAGGTGGGCTCTCACTCCACACAGCACCTGTGCCATCTGTCCTTGGATTGAATCAATTCAGCCCACAAATTGCAAGTTTGCAGCAGGACATTGATAAAAAGGTGTCTCAAGGATCATATTAAGGGTTCTGGTTCAAAGTAGCTGGTTAGAAGAAGCTTGTGTGAGTCATTCTCATGGAGAGGAAACAAAGAGGTGAGTAAATACTAGCTCTTCAAGTCAATCGCCTATGAGATAATGTCAAGAATTATGAAGGAAGCAATGGGACCCATGGAGAACAGAGAATAGCAAAGCCAGGCAGTCACCCGCCCAGAATTGGTGCAGAACCATGGGAAGCTCCTTTGCACAGAGAAAAGGTGAATAAGTGAGAGCCTCTGAAGGATCCACACTTTCCATTCTGCATCTCTGCTACCCTGGGCACAAGAGAGCCATCTGATTCCCCCCAGGACTCCAGACCTACACAAAGAGCTGGCTGGACTATGTGTTAGGAGCCCTGTGGGCCTTGGATCCTTAAAAACCTCAGTGCCAACTGCCACAGCCCCTCCAACAAGGGAAGACAAGGACTTTCACATGCCCCCAGGATAGGTGCCACAGATATGGTATTGAGGAGCAGACACAATGCAGAAGCCACCCCTGCCTCTCCTCACCAAGCAGGGCACAATGACTTGGGACTGAAGTGCAGCTGTCTGGCCCCTGCATGATCACTGGGGTTTGTTGCAGCTCTGCATTGCTCTGGAATGAAACTCCTAGAGGTAACTGGCAGACCTTCTATGATTGCCACTGTACAGACAGGTGGTCAGACTGTTTATCACATGACACCCCCATCCCTGCTGCTCCCTGAAAAATGTGATTTGATGCTTTCTGGCTCCCTGCAGACTCACCCTGCCCCTGCCTGAGCATTTCAACTGAGGACCAGAGCCCTTCTGAAAACCTTATCACTACAGGCCTGTGATCATCCCTCCAGCTCCCACTGCCTACACATTCTGTCTCCTCCAGCTGTAGAGTTCATATGGTAATCTGGGGACCAGCCCACCCTTCCCCATCACAACCAGCACTTGAACCATGGGGAGACAGACTCCATCCATCTCCATCAGGACTCATACACACTGTCCAACAGTATGTCCTAGGAGTCCTAGGAGCCTGAGAACTGGGGAACTACCTTAGCCCATTCCAACTCTGCTGGAACCTGATGACTCTTGCAGGACCTGAGGTCAGGCAAACCTACCAGCTAACACCAACACAACCAACACCCACCTGCAGGGATCCAAAAATGGAGCCCCTCCCCTTACATGAAGCAGCAATGCTATCACATCAGAGAACAGGCAAGCCGTCAAGCTATCTGTATCAGGCTGAGTGCTGAAGTTCTGTCCCAAAACCACTCCCACAGAGAGTCACAAAACAAGTATATCCCAACGTTTCTAATGACAGAAATAGACTAGACTAGAGTGAGCATCCAAACTAGGAGTCACCAGCCCTGGAACAGGGGTGTAATAGGTTAATGGTTCATGTTCTTACCTACTTATTCAGAATAAGAAGCAGGTGCAGTCTCCTCACCACCAGTACCCCACAGAGACATCAGTGCATTTTACTGGAAGCTCCTCCCAGAGACCTTCCTGAGGGGTGGTGCCTGCACTCACCATTTGGGTATTTGTGAGCAAGCCAGGGACTCTAGCTCTGCCCAGCTCTGTCCCCCCACCCACTTGGAATAGGAAGCTTATGGTACATGTCACTCCACTGTCCAGCATCTCACAGTAAACAAAGATCAGGTACATACCCACCTGCCTGTGCTGAAGGTGACTCATATCTGTAACCACCATCTACTGGCCTGTAGATTGAATCATACAGCCCAATATAACACCTGCTGACAGAAGTGCATAGGGCTATACCAATGTAATACCAAACAGAAAAAAGTTGAAAGCATTCCACTGAGAATTGGAACAAGACAAGGATGCCCACTCTCACCACTTCTATGCAACATAGTACTGGAAGTCCTAGCAGAGCAATCAGACAAGAGAAAGAAATAAAGGGCATCCAAATTGGTAAAGAGGAAGTCAAATTGTCACTGTTTGCTGATATTATTGTATACCTAGAAAGCCCTTAAGACTCCTCCAAAAAGCTCCTGGAACTGATAAATGAATTCAGCAAAGTTCCAGGATACAAAATTAACGTACACAATTTAATAGCTCTGCTATACAACAACAGCAACCAAGCTGGAAATAAAGTCAGTAACTCAACCCCTTTTACAATACTTGCAGAAAAATAACATACTTAGGAATATACCTAACCAAGGGGGTGAAACACCTCTACAAGGAAAACTACAAAACACTGCTGAAAGAAATCATAGATGACACAAACAAATGGAAACACATCCCATGCTCATGGATGGGTAGGATCAATATTGTGAAAATGACCATACTGACAAAAGCAATCTACAAATTTAAAACAATTCCCATCAAAATACCACCATCAGTTTTCACAGAATCAGAAAAGAGAATTCTGGAATTCATATGGATAAAAAAAGAGCCTGCATAGCCATAGCAAGACTAAGTAGAAAGAACAAATTTGGAGGCATCGCATTACCCCACTTCGAACTATACTCTAAGGCTATAGTTACCAAAACAGCATGGTACTGATATAAAAATAGGCACATAGACTAATGGGACAGAATAGAGAACCCAGAAATAAACCCAAATACTTACAGCTAACTAATCTTCAACAAAGCAAACAAAAATATAAAGTGGGGAAAGGATACCTTATTCAACAAATGGTGCTGTGATAACTGGCAAGTCACATGTAGAAGAATGAAACTGGATCCTCATCTCTCAGCTTATACAAAAATCAACTCAAGATGGATCAAGGACTTAAATCTGAGACCTGAAACCATACAAATTCTAACATCAGAAAAAACATTCTAGACATTGTCTTAGGCAAAGACTTCATGACCAAGAACCCGAAAGCAAATGCAACCAAAACAATGATAAATAGGTGGGACTTATTTAAACTAAAAAGTTTCTGCACAGCAAAAGAAACAATCAGCAGAGTAAACAGACAACCAACAGAGTGGGAAAAATATCTTCACAATCTATATACCTGACAAAGGACTAATATCCAGAATCTACAAGGAACTCAAACAAAGTAGCAAGAAAAAAACAAACAATCCCATCAAAAAAATGGGTCGAAGGACATGAATAGACAATTCTCAAAAGAAGGTATACAAGTGGCCAAAAAACATGAAAAAATGCTCAGCATCACTAATGATCAGGGAAATGCAAATCAAAACCACAATGTGATACCACCTTCTCTTACAAGAATGACCAGGAAAAAAAAAAAGATATTGGCGAGGATGTAGTGAAAACGAACACTTCTACACTGTTGGTGGGAATATAAACTAGTACATGATGGAAAACAGTGTGGAGATTCCTTAAAAAACTAAAAGAAGAACTACCATTTGATCCAGCAGTTCCACTATTGGGTATTTACCCAGAGAAAAAGAAGTCATTTTATTTCAAAAAGATACCTGCATATGCTTGTTTATAGCAGCACAATTTGCAATTGCAAAAATATAGAATCAACCTAAATGCCCATCAATGAATGAGTGGATAGAGAAATTGTGCTACATATATATACTATTCAGCCATAAAAAGGAATGAAATAATGGCATTCACAGTAACCTGGATGGAATTGGAGACCATTATTCTCAGTGAAGTAACTCAAGAATGGAAAGCAAACTGTCATATGTTCTCAATCATAAGTAGGAGCTAAGCTATGAGGATACAAAGGCAGAAGAATGACTCAGTGGACTTTGGGAACTTGGGGAAAAGAGTGGGAGGGGATGAGGGATAAAAGAATGCAAATTAGGTACAATGTCTACTACTCGGGTGATGGGTGCACCAAAATATCACAAATCAACACTAAAGAAATTACTTATGTAACCAAACACTACCTGTTCCCTCAAAACCTATGTAAATAAAAATAAAATAATGCTAAAAATAAAAAAGAAGTGCATAGGACTATAGCAACAATGTTAGAAGATTCTACACAACATTCTGTACAGTGACATCCCCTTGGGAGTAGAGGGGAGAGGGAAAGAAAAAAATTATATAGAAAGAAAGAAAAATAATCTTATCAGCACAAAAGTAATTATAAAAATTAGAAATGCCAGCTTCTCCAGCTGAGAAAGAACTAGCATAAGAATTCTGGCAACATGAAAAGTCTGAATGTTGTTACACCACCAAAGGATCAAACTAGCTTCCCAGCAATGGACACTAACCAAAATAGAAACTCAGACATGACAAATAATTCAAAGAATGGATTGCAAGGAAGCTCAGTGAGATCCAAGATAAGATTGAAAATCAACACAAGCTTATAAAGCAGTTCAATAAATGAAAATAGAGATAAACATCTTAAAAGGAAATCAGTCAGAACTTCTGGAAATGAAAAAAATTAAGGAATTTCAAGATACACTTGAAAGCCTTATCAATAGACTAGACTAAGAAAAAAATATTCAGGGCCTGAAGATCAGTCTTTTGAACCAGCACAGTCAGATAGACACAAGGAAAAAAAGAATTTAAAAAAAAGTATTTGAGAAATAATGGATTATATAAAATGACCAAGCCTATGAATTACTGGCATTCCCAAGAAACAAAGAGAAAAAAAAAACCTGGAAAATATATTTGAGGGAATAATTCAAGAAAATTTCCCTAATCTTGCTAGAGAGGTAAGCATTCTTTTATAGGAAACCTAGAGAATACTTTTGAGATACTAGACAAAATGAACACCAAGGCATATAGCTACCAGATTGTCTAAGGTCAACACTAAAGAAAATATCTTAAAGCCAACTAGAAAAAAGGTCAGATTTTTTACAAAGGGAACCACAACAAGCTAAGAGAGAAATTCTCAGCAGACTCCTTACAAACCAGAAGAGATTGAGGACCTATTTCTCAGCATTCTTAAAGAAAATAAATTCCAACAAGAATTTCATATCCATCCAAACTAAGCTTTATAATGAAAGAGAAATAAAGTATTTTCCAGATAAGCAATCACCAAGGGCATTCATCACCACTAGATCATCCTTACTAGAGATCCTTAAGAGAGAGTTCTAAAAGTGGAAATGAAAGAACAATACCTGCTACCAAAAAACACATGTAAGTACATAGCCCACAACCCTATGAATTAACTATATCCAAATCAATAAATGTATTCACCACAAAAACAATTTAAAACAAAAACCACATGATAATCTCAATTGATGCAAATAAATCTTTTGATGAAATCCAACATTCCTTTATGATGAAAACCCTAAACAAATTAGGCATCAAAGGAATACCCCTCAGAATAAAAACATCTATGACAAACCCACAATCAACATCATAATAGATGAGCAAGACTGGAAACATTCCCCTTAAGAACACAAATAAGACAAGGATGCATACTCTCGCCATTCTCAAGCTACATAATATTAGAAGTCCTAGCCAGAACAATCCGGCAAGAGAAAGAAATAAAAGGCATCCAACTAGAGAAAGAAGACGTTAAATTATCTCTCTGTTGATATTACTCTATAGCTAGAAAACCCTAAAGACTTCACCAAAAGGCTTCTGGAACTGATAAATGACTTCAGTAAAGTTTCAGGATGCAAGATTAATGTAAAAAATCTAGCATTTCTGTACATTAATAACATCCAAGCTGAAAGCCAAATGAAGAACACAATTCCATTGACAAAAGCCACACAAAAATAAAATGCCTAGGAATACATCTAATCAAAGAAGTGAAATATCTCTACAAGGAAGACTACAGAACACTGCTGAAAGAAATCAGAGATGACATAAACAAATGGAGAAATACTTCATGCTCATGGATTGAAAGAATCAATATTGTTAAAATGGCCATACTGCCAAATGTAATCTACAGATTCAACACTATTTCTATCTATCAATGTCATCTTTTACAGAATTAGAAAATAAAACTATTCTAAAATTCAAATGAAACAAAAAAAGATCCTTAATAGTCAAAGCAATCCTAAGCAAAAGGAACAAAGCCAGAGGCATCATGTTACCAGACTTCAAGTTATGCTAATACCACAAGGCTATAGTAAGCAAAACAACATGGTACTGGTAAAAAGCAGACGCATGTACCAATGGAACAGAATAGAGAATCCAGTAATTAAGCCACAATCTACAGCTGAATAATATTTGACAAAGTTGACAAAAATAAGTAATATGAATAAAACTCCCTAGTTAATAAATGGTGCTGTGATAACTGGCTAGCCATAGACAGAAGAATGAAACTGAACTCCTACCTTTCACCATGTACAAAAATTAAGTCAAGATGGATTAAAGACTTAAATGTAAGACTTCAAACTATAAAAAATTCTATAATAAAACCTAGAAGGTACCACTGTAGACATCAGCCTTGGCAAATAATTTATAAGTAAGTCCTCAAAAGCAATTGGAACAACAAAAATTGACAAATGGGACCTCATAAAATGAAAGAGCTTCTACACAACAAAAGAAACTCTCAACAGAGTAAACAGACAGTCTGCAGAATAAGAAAAAATATATGTAATCTATTCATCTGGCAAAGGTCTAAAATCCAGAATCTATAAGGAACTTAATTCAACAAGGAGGAAACAAATAACCTTATTAAAAAAGTGGGCAGAAGACATTAACAGACATTTCTCAAAATAAGACATACAAGTGGCCAAAAAACATGAAAAAATGATCCACATCCCTAATCATCAGAGAAATGCAAATACAAACCACAATGATATACCATCTCATACCAGTCAGAATGGCTATTATTAAAAAGTAAAAAATAAATAAATAAATAACAGATGCTAGTGAGGCTTCAGAGAAAAGAGAACACTTATACACTGCTTTTGGAAATGTAATTTAGTTCAGCCACTGTGGAAAGCAGTTGGATATTTCTCAAAGAACTTAAAGCAGAACTACCATTGAACCCAGCAATCTCATTACTGAGTGTATACACAAAGGAATATACATCATTCTACCATAAAGACACATGCATGCATATGTTCATCCCAGCACTATTCACCACAGCAAAGCCGTGGAATCAACCTAGGTGCCCATCAATGGTGGACTGGATAAAGAAAATGTGGTACCTATACACCATGGAATACTATGAAGCCATAAAAACTGTGAAATCATGAGTCTTGCAACAACACGGATGCAGCTGAAATTCATTATCCCAAACAGATTAACACAGCAACAGAAAACGAAATACCACATATTCCTTACTTGCAAGTGTCAGCTAAACATTGGATACACATGGACATAAAAATGAGAACAATAGATATTGAGGACTACAAGAGCGGGGAAGGTGGGAACAAAGTCCAAAAAAATACCTATTGAGTACTATGCTCGCTACCTGGATGATGGGATTAGTTGTACTCCAAACCTCAGTATCATGCAATATACCCATATAACTAACCTGCACATGTAACCCTGAATTTAAAATAAAAATTGAAGTTAAAAATTAAATCAAAAACATAATCACAATGCAAAAGGGTAACTAGATGCTATTGGAAACATATAAATCAAATATACTAATTTCAGTCTTCTGTGTCACCATTCATATACAATAATTAAATGCAGTGTATTGCAATCAAACAGAGATTTGTGGGAAGGAGATTGGGATGCAGTCTGAGAAATGGTTCAGTGGGAATTACATTTGTACCCAAGAAATGCTCAGAAGGCCATGCAATAAAGGAAAGGCTTAGACCATTCTGGTAGGACTGAGATTTCTAACATGGTTTATATGAGGACATCTGTATTATTGATTCAAAATTTTCATATTAACTTTGTTATGCCCCCAGAATAAATTGAGAAAAGGCTGAGTGAAAGGAATGTGAGTTGATTTTCCAGTTAGTTAATCAATAAGCACACTTTGAACAGTTATATCTTTATAGTCTTAAGCTACATGCAGGAGCACAATGTGTATTAGGGAACCATTCTCACCCTGTATTGAAGTCCCTCATAGTCTGATTGTAGTTTTAGTCAGCCTTATTATCATCACAGTGTATGACTTCATGAAGATTTTTGAGAAATCATCAAGAGCATAGTGGCTCCACTACACATTTTTTTATTTCTCTTTCCAACAGAACTTTAATGCTATTCAGGTGTTAATTTTTCATCACCATAGCCCATGTGCTTTAGGATTTGAATTTGACTCCGGAATGAGCCTCATTATTACAATAAAAATTGCATCCTTTATGCCATAATTTGGTCCAAATAGGTGAAAAGGGAGACTTGTTGAGGCCTATGGGTAAATTCTCACTTTTCTAAAAGTGGGACTTCTCCCACTGGATATGAGTAGCAATGTATGCCTCTTTGCAACTGGCAGCAAAAATTTGATGCAGGAGTACTTATGATTTGTCATCTACAAAGCTAGGCAACTGCAGAGAGTGAAAGGGAATGCAATTTATTATTATTCTAGATAAAAGGTATGTATAAGTCCATTTGCACACTGCTACAAAGACAAACCCAAGACTGGGTAATTTATAAAGGGAAGAGGTTTAATCAACTCACAGTTCCACAAAGCTGGGGAGGATTCAGGAAACTTACAATCATGGCAGAAGGGGAAGAGGCACACCTTACATGGCGGCAAACAAGAGAGAGTGAGCAAGAGCAGGGAAAAACTGCTTTATAAAACCATCAGATCTTGTGCGAGCTCACTCACTATCACCAAAACAGCATGGGGGAAAATGCTCCCATGATGCAGTCACCTCCCACCTGGTCCCTCCCTCGACATGCAACGATTATGGGGATTATAATTCGAGATGAGATTTGGGTGGGGACACACAGCCAAACCATGTCAAGATACAAACTGGGTATTTCCTAGTAAGCAAGTTGAATGGTCACCCTACTATAAAATGAGGAATAGGCTTAGGAAGAAATCAATGCTCAAGGCAGCACAATAAAAAAAGGCTGAGATTGTGGTTATATTAATGAACTACTTGGATTTCCTTCTGCAAACGTATAAAATTGCGTTATCAGGTAGGTTTCTTTGAGTCAGGTCTCTATTGCTTACAGTTTAGTGCACTTTAAATCACACACTTGGTACTAATTTATGTTTGTGTATTTACTTTAGTCATTGGGTATATAGAACTATTCTGGGATCAAGCGATATGACACATACAATAACAGGGAAGAAGTAGGCCTGGGAATGTATAATTTCATATGACATTAAAGATAAGCATAAAAAAATACCCTGAACTAGAATATGGTTGAAGTATAAGGTCCTGCTGAGAATCCAGCTTATGTATTTGGTGGTTTTCATTATAGCAGCACCTTAGATGCATGTTCCTCCCTTTCATACAGTGGTAAGATTCTATGCCAAGGACCAGGATAATTTACTTCGACTTCCTGCTGTGGCCCTATGTACCTGGGGCTTTGAACAAGCTGTGTTCTTCTTCTGTGTCTTAGATTCCTTATTTCAGTAGCTATTGTTTCCTTTATGTTTTATCTTTCTACCTTGCATTAAGGGAAGGACCAAGACTTGTATCTTCCAAAGAATCAACTTCAATTAATAAATCAACTTTCAGTTGGTAATCACAAACACACACACACACACATTTTTTACATAACATATTTTATATAAATAATTGTTCAATTGATTATCACTTCTCACTTCTGTGCTGCAACCAGACCTTTTATTTCCAAAGTGTTTCAATGCCATGGTCTTATTTAATGATTACAATTATTAAATTCACCTTCCATTGTGATTTGGAAGGAGGATGGAGGAAATAGTGAGTTTAGATTTGAAACTGGTGGCTGTCTCTCAAGCTGATGGGTTTGCACATATTGAGGGAACTGAGAGGGAGAGAGAGAGCCCTGTACAGCCATTTGAGAAGCTAAGTGGTGCAACACAGAGTGGCATCCACGTGGCTCATCAAGACCAAATAAACAAAGAAAAACTACCTGTTGTCTTTATCATAAGGAACACTAAATAATAAGGAAATGCACCTTTTTTTAGTAGAAAATAGGCTCAGGTTTGCTTCCGAAAATAATAAATTAAATAAATATAAAATGTACATATAAAATGTATTACTTTATATGTAATAATAAATGATTAATATATAATATATATATTTATATATTAAAATATAATTATTTTAATGTAATAATATATGTTATTTTATATATAATAAAATATAAAATATTCTGGATGGGCTATTTATGCTAGTCACAGCATGAATGTGGCTGAAATATTGAAACATGAAATACTGGGGAAAAGATGGGTCATAGATGATTCCACAAGAGCGGAAGAACAGAAATCATCACCAGCCTTCAGATAGGTAAAGTAAGGCTTAGGGAAGTGAATAGCTTGCCCAATGTCATACAACCATTATGAAGAAAAGTGACATAGATTCATACCTTTTACAAATGTCAAGTCTTGTCCTCTCAGCTTTCAGCTATAGCATTTGTTTTTATAAAATACATTCACAAATGAACCATATTCATCTGCCAGTAAGAAAGGAAAAATTGGAAATGTTGCCCTATAGTGATGAGCATTAACAATTAGAATATAATCCAAGCAGTTCATAAAAAAATAACTGGGGAGACATTAAGAGGCAGGAGTATTATCATTAAAGATGATGACCAAGCAGTGGCCCATAAACATCTCCAATCATGCCAAACCACAAACCTCTAGTGCTATAATGAGTCTCAAGATTTTATCTCTGAAACTGTCTCTTGGAAGAAGAGTTATTGAGAGCTTTCTCAGCCATTAAATCTTTCAGCTGTTAGAAGTGATTAGTTCCCACACAGATATAGCCTATTTGACCTAGATAGCATGCATTTTATAAATAAATGAGAATGTGGCCATCACTTTTACAAAAGGGTCTATGCCACAACATTCATTGCATGCTCCTAAAGCCCTCAGCATGTCAATGCCTTCTACGTTTGTCCCTATTGTTGTATTACAAATCTCTTCAGTAAAATCAACAAGTGTACTCCTACTATGAGTTGCAAGGAGTGAAGAAAGTTGACAAGGTCATTTATTTTTGAACAGGACATCAGTATATTATACAGAAAAAACTTTGATCATTTTCTTCTTCAGTTAGGACAGTTCCTTAAATTAGAGGTGTTTAAAATAAAATGATTTTATAGATGGAGGAAAAGAGAGTGAGAGAAAAATCTTTCTGTCTAAGATGGTTAATATTGTTAATTAACAGCATTTTCATTTGTGGACTCTTGATGCCAGGTCAGCACATAATTTATTATACAAGATTGTTCACCATAATCTCCTGCATACCTTAGGACCTCTCACATGAATTTTCTGATTTTTCTACTCCTAGGATCATCCTTGCCCAATTACTGAGCCAGACTATCAGGGCCAGTGTTCTGGAATCAAGCTGACTTATCATTTCCATGCTTGTCATATTTCTGTGGTTGAACACATGATATTACAGGAATTTTCCTTAGTTCAGCTAAAGGCGGGGCCCCTGTCACACAGCCATGAAAGATTGGGCTCACAGACAATTTGAATGGTGAGAATAATGGGATATATTAGGCAAAAAGGAAAAAAAAGAAGGGAGGGGCAGGGAAACAGGGACCCTCCGCAAGGCCAGAGTCTCTGCTGGTGCCATTCCAACCTTGTAGTTTGAATTCCCCCTTCCGCACAGGAAGAGGAGGGGCCAGGTTCCTCCTCACTGCAGATGGTGTGAACTTCTGTGGCTCTTCCCCAGTGTGTGGTCTTCCCAGTGTACAGGTTGGTTAGAGGCTCTGCCAGGGAGCCCTTCCCACCTGGCTGTCTCAATGGGGCATTGCTCAGCCTACAGGGCCACAGATTTCAACAGTCATCTGCTCCTTGACCCTATTTGCACCTTAGCTCTGCCCATAAAAGTACACTTCTTGATGTGTTTTTCTAAAAATCTCTCAAGTGTTCCACTGGAAATGTGGCTTCTATAACCCATTGCCACATGGGATAAAATTGGTTTCTCATTCACCCACATTTTGCCATAAAAATACTGCCCTGACACTTGACAGAATTACTACTCAAATTGCTCAATGCAAATTGCTCAGTAATTGGGCAAGGATGATCCTAGGAGTAGAAAAATCAGAAAATTCATGTGAGAGGTCCTAAGGTATGCAGGAGATTATGGTGAACAATCTTGTATAATAAATTATGTGCTGACCTGGCATCAAGAGTCCACAAATGAAAATGCTGTTAATTAACAATATTAACCATCTTAGATTATCCATCTTGGATTATCTTATTTCCTGCCTCTATAAGATGAATCTTCATTAGTTTACAAATTAACAGATATTTGCATAATTATCACGAACTTTTAGTCAACATGAAATCATTCTCTAAAGTAAAAAACACCAGCAAAACCAAGTACTATTTTAACTAATTAAAACAGCTATTCCATGTTCCTCTTATATAACCATGACTACTCATAAATGTTTTTTAATGTGCGTTATAAAAATTTAATAAAAATACAAATAGAATACAGATCATTATCACTATTCTTACAGTCATCATTATTATAAACATGATTAAACATTTAGTATAGTAGAATATACAATGCTATAGATTTTTTTAGTACAGGACATGATTCTGACCCATAAGGTATTTCCCCTCCAGTTAAATACAAGACACTGATGTCCAAAAACAATCATTAACAATGTAGGAAAACAGACCACAGAATTAGTAGTGTCATGCTCTATCTATTTGAAATTTTAATGTCAAGATATACTCTCAGGGACTTTTCTTGTTCTATAATATGGCTTATTTCCCCAAACCATTATTTATCTTAATCCAATTTTCTTTTCTGTCTTCGTTATTTTGTGTCATGAATTTTCCCAGAATGCCTTCACTCAATTCTGCCCTTGGAACACTCAATTTGGGAAAGTCGTTTTGCTGTTTTAAGTAGAATTAAGATCAGTGAGGCTAAGGACCAAGTCAGTTTCTTTTCTTTTTTAATCAAATTATACACGGCACGTAACTTGGCAAATGACTATGGAAGGAAGGAAGTAAAGAAGAGGGAAGGGAGGCAGGGAGGGAGGGAGGCAGGGAGGGAGGGAGAAAGGGAGGAAGGAAGTTAGTTTTTAACTTATTTAAGTAAATACTAACAAGTACTATTGCTGAATTGTAAGATTATTTCTAGTTTTTTTTTCTATGCTGAATTTTGTTTATTTAAATTTAAATCGCTTTTTTATTTAGAATTTTTAAGTGGTAAAATACAAAAATGAGAACAGTGCATAAAACATAAATTTAGAGCATAATAAACAATTATAAATTAAGGATCATATCTAGGTCAAGATATATAAAATTGTCAGCATACCAGAGTCCTCATCTATATTTTCTGATCATATTAATTTTCCTTAGCCCTAGAGTTAACTGAAATCCTGGCTTTTACGGAAAACTTTAGATGTTCTAGTTGTTTTTATTTGCTCCAGTTTTTATTTTTGCAATGATAGCAAACCACCCTACACTTAGTGGCATAGCACAATAGTCATTTTGTTATGTTCACAGATTCTGTGGGTCAGGAATTAAGAAAGGACAAAATAAGAACAGGGTAATCCCCAGTTTATAATATATGGGGGTCTCAAGTGGAAAGACTCAGAGTATGGGGTGACTTGAAAATTGGAATCCGAAACATATAAGACCGATTCATTCACATTTCTGATTATTTACATCATTGATAATAGTCAGGAAACAACAGATGCTGGAGAGGATGTGGAGAAATAGGAACACTTTTACACTGTTGGTGGGACTGCAAACTAGTTTAACCATTGTGGAAGTCAGTGTGGCGATTCCTCAGGAATCCAGAACTAGAAATACCATTTGACCCAGCCATCCCATTACTGGGTATGTACCCAAAGGATTATAAATCATGCTGCTATAAAGACACATGCACACGTATGTTTGTTGCAGCACTATTCACAATAGCAAAGACTTGGAACCAACCTAAATGTCCATCAACGATAGACTGGATTAAGAAAACCTGGCACATATACACGATGGAATACTATGCAGCCATAAAAAAAGGATGAGTTCATGTGAAACTGAAAACCATCATTCTCAGCAAAGATTATATCTAGTTTTGTAAGAAACTGCCCAATTGTCTTATAAATTGACAGTACCATTTTGCATTCTAACTACTAATATGTGAAAGTTCCTTTTATAATTTTTATTGAGTAAATTTAAGACGTATAACATGATGTTTTGAGATATCTAACCATCTATAGTCAAAGTCAAATCAAAGATGGAGGAAAAGGTGTGGTGAGAGAGGGAATCCCTGTCTTGTGCCAGTTTTCAAAGGGAATGCTTCCATTTTTTGCCCATTCAGTATAATATTGGCTGTGGGTTTGTCACAGATAGCTCTTATTCTTTTGAGATACGTCCCATCAATACCTAATTTATTGAGAGTTTTTAGTTGAATTTTGTCAAAGGCCTTTTCTGCATCTATGGAGATAATCATGTGGTTTTTGTCTTTGGTTCTGTTTATATGCTGGATTACATTTATTGATTTGCATATGTTGAATCAGCCTTGCATCCCAGGGATGAAGCCCACTTGATCATGGTGGATAAGCTTTTTAATGTGCTGCTGGATTCGGTTTGCCAGTATTTTATTGAGGATTTTTGCATCAATGTTCGTCAAGGATATTGGTCTAAAATTCTCTTTTTTGGTTGTGTCTCTGCCAGGCTTTGGTATCAGGATGATGCTGGCCTCAAAAAATGAGTTAGGGAGGATTCCCTCTTTTTCTATTGATTGGAATAGTTTCAGAAGGAATGGTACCAGTTCCTCCTTGTACTTCTGGTAGAATTTGGCTGTGAATCCATCTGGTCCTGGACTTTTTTTGGTTGGTAAGCTATTGATTATTGCCTCCATTTCAGAGCCTGTTATTGGTCTATTCAGAGATTCAACTTCTTCCTGGTTTAGTCTTGGGAGGATGTATGTGTCGAGGAATTTATCCATTTCTTCTAGATTCTCTGGTTTATTTGCATAGAGGTGTTTATAGTATTCTCTGATGGTAGTTTGTATTTCTGTGGGATCTGGTGGTGATATCCCCTTTATCATTTTTTATTGCATCTATTTGATTCTTCTCTCTTTTCTTCTTTATTAGTCTTGCTAGTGGTCTATCGATTTTGTTGATCTTTTCAAAAAACCAGCTCCTGGATTCATTAATTTTTTGAAAGGTTTTTTGTGTCTCTATTTCCTTCAGTTCTGCTCTGATCTTAGTTATTTCTTGCCTTCTGCTAGCTTTTGAATGTGTTTGCTCTTGCTTTTCTAGTTCTATTAATTGTGATGTTAGGGTGTCGATTTTAGATCTTTCCTGCTTTCTCTTGTGGGCATTTAGTGCTATAAATTTCCCTCTACACACTGCTTTGAATGTGTCCCAGAGATTCTGGTATGTTGTGTCTCTGTTCTCGTTGGTTTCAAAGAACATCTTTATTTCTGCCTTCATTTCATTATGTACCCAGTAGTCATTCAGGAGCAGGTTGTTCAGTTTCCATGTAGTTGAGTGGTTTTGAGTGAGTTTCTTAATCCTGAGTTCTAGTTTGATTGCACTGTGGTCTGAGAGACAGTTTGTTGTAATTTCTGTTCTTTTACATTTGCTGAGGAGTGCTTTACTTCCAACTATGTGGTCAATTTTGAAATAGGTGTGGTGTGGTGCTGAAAAGAATGTATATTCTGTTGATTTGGGGTGGAGAGTTCTGTAGATGTCTATTAGGTCCGCTTGGTGCAGAGCTGAGTTCAATTCCTGGGTATCCTTGTTAACTTTATGTCTCGTTGATCTGTCTAATGTTGACAGTGGGGTGTTAAAGTCTCCCATTATTATTGTGTGGGAGTCTAAATCTCTTTGTAGGTCACTAAGGACTTACTTTATGAACCTGGGTGCTCCTGTATTGGGTGCATATATATTTAGGATAGTTAGCTCTTCTTGTTGAATTGATCCCTTTACTGTTATGTAATGGCCTTCTTTGTCTCTTTTGATTTTTGTTGGTTTAAAGTCTGTTTTATCAGAGACTAGGATTGCAACCCCTGCCTTTTTCTGTTTTCCATTTGCTTGGTAGATCTTCCTCCATCCCTTTATTTTGAGCCTATGTGTGTCTCTGCATGTGAGATGGGTTTCCTGAATACAGCACACTGATGGGTCTTGACTCTTTATCCAATTTGCCATTCTGTGTCTTTTAATTGGAGCATTTAGCCCATTTACATTCAAAGTTAATGTCGTTATGTGTGAATTTGATCTGTCATTATGATATCAGCTGGCTATTTTGCTCATTATTTGGTGCAGTTTCTTCCTAGCCTTGATGGTCTTTACAATTTGGCATGTTTTTGCAGTGGCTCGTACCGGTTGTTCCTTTCCATGTTTAGTGCTTCCTTCAGGAGCTCTTTTAGGGCAGTTCTGGTGGTGACAAAATCTCTCAGCATTTGCTTGTCTGTAAAGTATTTTATTTCTCCTTCACTTATACTTAAATTTAAATGATTTATTTGGGTAGTAATAATTGCAGTTGAAGGCATAGACACACAGCAAGTGGTCTTTGGTATGTCAAAAAAACAGAGAGAGGGTTAGACATTTTATAAAAAGGAGAAATGTAACATTTTATTTGAAAGAAAAGTTATTGGCATTTACATTTTGTTTTGAAAGAAAGTTCATTGGCACCAGTAAAATTCTGGAGAGCTGGCAAGCTCTGATTTGTGAGTGATGGCTATGAGTAAAATTGTGGGTCACAGAAGGTTATTTCAGCAGCTATTAGTTAAAACTAATTTCAGTTTACTACAGGCATTTTCAACAGCCAGACTTTCAGAGAATTACATTCTTGGAACAATGTTATGTACTCTGTATTTTCACCTGGCCTCTCAACTGTGTTTTAATTGCGTATGACAAGAATGAACCAGTTTTTATTATTAACTTTGACAATTTGTACACAATGAAATGATAGAGATAACATATGATAAATAGAGATTACATATTCATCATCTCACAATATCACAGTTATTTTTATTATTTGTGTGTGTGTGTGTATTTTTTTTGGTGGGGTGCATATGGTAAGAGCACCTAAAATCGCTCTTAGAAAATTTTCAGTAGGCAATGCAATATTATTAACTACAGTCTCCATGTCGTATTTTTGATCTCTAGGTTTATTTACCCTGCACACCTGCAACTTTGTACCTTTTGATTTATATTTCCCCATTCCTCCTCTCCTGCCTCTAGTAACTACCATTCTAGTTTCTGTTTTTATATATTCAACTTTTTTTTAGGACTTCACATATATGAGAGATCATGCAGTGTTTATTCTTTCTGTGTCTGGCTTATTTCTCTTAGTATAATGCCCTCCAGTTTTTATCTTGTTGTCAGAAATGGCAGGATTTTCTTATTTAATTAAATCTGAGTAGTATTTCTTGTATTATATACATACTACAATTTTTTTGTTTTATCATCTATCAGCTAACATTGAGCTTGTTTCTGTATCTTTGCTATTGTGAATAATGCTGCAATAAAAGTAGGAATGCAGATAGATTTATGAAGTGCTAATTTTATTTTCTTCGGGATATTCTGAGAAGAATAATCTCTGGGTCATATGAGATTTTGACTGGGTTTGCACTGAATCTATAGATTAAGTTGGGTAAAACTAATATCTGACGATATTGAGTCTTCTTATCCATGCACATGAAATATCTCTGCATTTATTTTGTCCTTTGATTTATTTCATTGGAGTTTGTATTTTTTTCTCACAAGATTTTATGCATATTTTGTTAGATTTATACCTGAATATTTTATTTTTTGGTGTGCTAATGTAAATATTATTGTGTTCTAAGTTTCAAATTTTACCTGTTTATTAGTGGTATACAGGAAAGTGATTGACATTTGTATATTAACCTTGTTTCCTGCAACATTGTTATAATTGCTTATTAGTTGCAGATTTGTTTGATTTTTCAATTCTTTTGAATTTTCTACATAAACAAACATGTCCTCAGTGAACAAAGATGGTTTTATTTTTTGCTTTCAAATCTGTATTGATTGTATTTTCTCTTTTCATCTTATTGCATTAGCTAGGACTTCCAGCACAATGTTGAAAAGGAATATGCTGAGAAGGACATATCCTTGCCTTGTTCCTGATTTTAGCAAAAAAAGTTATTAATTCTTCAACGTTATATGGAATGTTAGCTAGAGGGTTTTTTTTAGACGTTCTTTATCAAGTTGAGAAATTCTCCATTGTTCTTAGTTTGCTGACAGTTTTTGTCAATAGTGGGTATTGAATTTTGTCAAGTATATTTTCTGTATCTACTGATATTTTCATGTGATTTGCCTTCTTTAGTCTGCCATTGTGATTTATTGCATTAATTGATTTTTTAAAATGTTGAGAGAGTTTGCATACCTGGAATAAATCTTATTTGGTCATGGTCTGTCAATTTTTTATACATTACATTTTCTAATATTTTGTTGAGGACCTTTGCATTTATTTTATGAGAAATATTGGTTTGTAATTTTATTTTTTTCTAATATCTTTATTTGTTTTTGGCATTAGAGTGATGGTGGCTCCATATAATGAGTCAGGGAGTATTCTCCCTGCTTCTTTTTTTTTTTTTTTTTTTTTTTTTGATAGAGTCTTGCCCTGTCGCCCAGGCTGGAGTGCCTGCTTCTTTTTTTTTTTTTTTTTTTTTTTTTTTTTTGACAGAGTCTTGCTCTGTCGCCCAGGCTGGAGTGCAGTGGCGCAATCTCTGCTCACTGTAAGCTCCACTTCCCGGGTTCATGCCATTCTCCTGCCTCAGCCTCCCAAGTAGCTGGGACTACAGGCACCCGCCACCACGCCAGGCTAATTTTTTGTATTTTTAGTAGAGATGGGGTTTCACCATGTTAGCCAGGATGATCTCGATCTCCTGACGTAGTAATCTGCCCGTCTCGGTCTCCCAAAGTGCTGGGATTGCAGGCGTGAGCCACTGCACCCAGCTCCCTGTTTCTATCTTCAGAAAAATATTGTAGAAAATTGGTAAAAATTTTCTTCTTAAATGTTTTCAGGAATGTACTGGTAAACACACCTGAGCTTGTTACTTTATATTTTGTAAGGTTATTAATTATTGACTCAATTTCTTTAAGAAATATATGCCTACCCAGATTGTCTATTTCTTGTTGTGGGAGTTTTGGAAGGTTGTGTCTTTCAAGAAATAGGCCCATTATGTCTAGGTTATTTGATTCGTGGGCATAGAGTTGTTAATAGTATTCCCTTATTATCTTTTTGATTTCTATGATCACTGTAGTGATGAACCCTCCTTCATTTCTGATATTAGTAATTTGTTTCTTCTCACTTTTTTTTCTTTATCATCCGGTAATAGGCTTATAAGTTTTGTTGCTCTTTCCAAAGAAGCAGTTTTTGATTTCATTTATTTTCTCAATTTATTTTTATTTTTCAATTTTATTGACGTCTCGAAGTTTTATTATTTTTTTCTTCTCTTATCTTTGGATTTAATTTTCTTTTTTTTCATCTCCTAAGTTGGAAGCTTAGATTACTGATTTTAAATCTTTCTAAGCATGCTTAGCGAGATTTTACCTTTATCTCTACTGCATTCCACAAATTTTGGTGTATTTTTTTTTAATTTACTGCAAAGTACTTTTTAAATTCCTCTTGTAATTTTTTGACTCGTGTTATTTAGAAATTCCTTGTTTAATCTCATACTATTTCAGAATTTTTCAGCTGTTTTTCTCTTATTGATTTCTAGTTTAATTCTATTGTGATCAGGGAGCATACATGATAAGATTTATTCTATTTTGTTAAAGTGTGTTTTGTGGACTAGAATATGTCTATCTTGGTGAATGTTCCATGTGAGTTTGCATCTTGTTCTTGTTGAAGTCTTCCGTAGGTGTGAATTAACTATGTCCTTACTGATTTTCTGACTATTAGAGCTGTCCCTTTCTAATAGAGAGATGTTGACATCTCCACTTATTAGCAACTCTTTTAAGGCAATGTAAAGAATAATCCCTAAAAGGAAAAACAGCTCTACTTTCTACTTGGCTTTCTGCCATAGGACAGAAATGGACCACCCTTATAGTGTCAATTGATTTTTCAAAAAAAGACATCCAAGAAAATCAATGGGAAGATAACATCTTTTTAAAAAATGATGCTGAAATATTTGGATATTATATTGGAAAAAATGAATAAGTCGTTCCTGTTTCTCAAATATTTTTAAAGAACTTATTGATACCCTATTGGTCAAAGACCAAGAGTAAAAGCTAAAAGTAATGTGTTGCAGAAAACATAAAAATAATCTATGCAAACTTGACATTTGATAAGATTTTAGAAAACACACAAATTGCACTAATCGTAAGAAATACAGAATTAAACATAACATGAACTTAATCAAAAGTAATACTTTATTAAAAGTCACTGCTAACAAAGTGAATAGCAAAACCACAGCCTGAAAAAAATTAATAATATGTACATGTCATACATGACATACACCAGAATACAGAAAAGTGACATAAATAGTCAAAAAGGAAAACTACCCACTTAAAATCAGGATCAACACATTTGAAAAAACATTTAAAAAGAAAGATATGCTTTGGGGTCAATAAACATATGTAAAAGTGCTTGATATTCCTATCATCAGGGAAATGTAACGTTAGACTGCCTTGAGATACGGCTGTCCTCTCACTGGAATGAATGCTGTTTATACACACTGGCAACACTGTTAGCAACGTGTGGAACAAGTAAAATTCTCCTATGTTTTTGGTAGGTGTGTAAAATTGTATAGCCATTTTGGAAAACGATTAGTACTTTCTTACAAAGTTGAACTAATACCTAATCTGTTACTGAGCAATTATGCCATGAGATACATCCATACAAAGTTGTGTACAGCATAGTCTCAGTAGCTTTATTCATAAAAGTCTATAAGCAACCTAAGTATTCATCAATAGAAAAAATAATAAGCATTGTCAATGAAAACATATACAACTACTGATACATGGAATAAAATAGGTGAATTTAAATATCATTATGCTGAATAAAAGAAATTTGATGCAACAATTGCAACATATTGTGGATTTCTAAAACAGTGTAATCAAATCTGTAGTGATATAAATCAGAAGAATGATTGCCGCTGTGTTCAAGGTGGAGATAATCTGGAAAGAAGCATGAGGGAATTTTAGGATAGTGAAAATGTTCTATTTTTTATAGTGGTATTTCTTAAACAAATGTATATGGCTTTCAAAACTCATCAATCTCTACACTTAAGGTCTGTGCCTTTCACTATGTATATATCCTATCTCAATTTTTAAAAGTGGAACATGAAGAAATTACCCTGTCAGAAATATGTCTCTGCCAAGATTTTTAAAATTAATTTATTACATGCCTATTTGTACATTGTCTGTCACAATGCAGACATTTGTGAAATGTTGTTCTTTCTGTGTTCCTTGGTATTTTGCAGAATTCTTGACTTGTAGGCTCAATGGTTCAGTGCTGCAGTGGAAAGGATTTGAAGACAGGCATATTTGTGTGTTTAGCTGAGTTCTGTCACTGCTGATAGTGTTAATTTAGGCAAATTCCTTCTGAATTCCAGAGTGTCATTTCCTCATCTGAAATATAAGATTTTATTTGGGTTGTCATGATGGCAATAAAAAATGTATATACAATATCAGACAAATAATAGTTGTTTGATAAGGAATTGTATTTTTGAGTTTGTATATATGTTGAGAGATTCGCGAACAACTTGTCTTATCCTAATCATTTTATTATCTCTATGGGTTAGAAGTTATTGCTATCCCTCCTTAAAGACTGGGAATTTGAAAAGAGCTACGTAACTCAATATCACAAAGTACCAAATAACAGAGCTAGATTTTCATCCATGAGAGTTGAACCTGAGGTTGCTTTTTCAGTATGACTTTCTTCCATTATCTCCCATAAATGGCGATGATGGTGAGGATAATGATGGTGATAATTGCTATCATTATCCATCTATTTACAGTCCTCTATAAATCTCTTCTCCAATTCCTTAGACAGAGGACCACAATGACTAATTTAAGCTCTTCGGTATCAAGAAGCTAACAAATTTAAGGGCATCATCCTTGTTGAACATCTTCAATGTTTAAAATTATTGTCTTTATCCTAAACTAAAATTTACGCACTGGACTTTATGTGCTTGCTGTAAGCTGTGCTGAACTAGTCTACTATTTTAAAATGCCAGCCTTTAAAATGCATGAGAATGCCTATTAGAGCAGATTGAGTCTTTTCTCGTCTCTTGAATTGTGACAAGGAATTTACTGAACATATTCCTTGCATGATTCTGAGAGACACGGCAAGCAGCCCACGGCTGATAAAGGCACACATCTGGCTTTGACTGTGTCCAGTGCTAATAACAGCCCAATGGAGCTTACCTCGCCTGAATCCCTAGTCTTATCTAGTGCCTCTAAATCTTAGGTGACATGAAAAAAATCTCATGTCATTGTACTCCCCCGACCTCCTACTCTGCTTTCTCTGCTTCTCTTACCCTGAGATCAAATGGAAACTCCTGGTTCAGAAATCCCATTATAAAAATTGCAGTAATAATGGGAGGATTTGACTACTACAGTATAATCATTTTTTTCTATTTAAAAGGTAATGCTAAATATGAAGTTTATAATAGTGAATTTCTTTTTTTTTGTACATACTTTTTATTTGTTGAATAAATGAATATTTGTCAATATGTACATAACCACATAGAGCGAGCATTAGATTTAGAGAGCAAAATATTTGGGTTCTAATATGCAAAGCCACTTACCAGCTGTGAGGGCTTCGGCAAAGAACTGAATCTGAGCTCAGCTCCCTCAACTGTAAAACTAGGTTATTCGGACCTATGTGGCCTACCACACAGGCTTATTGCAAGGTTCAAATGCAGAAACATATGAAAGTGCTATGAATACAACTTAGAGCAATACAAACAAAACAAGTAACAGCAATGGAATTTCAAGCTGAAATTCACACCCTCGGATTGTACCCATGTACTGATGGAGTCAACAAGAAAGTGACAAAATAGCTGATTACTAATGAGAACGAATATGCCATTCTTCTGAGTGGGAAGAATTCTGCAACACCCTGTAGCTTGTCGCTGCAATGAATTACTTCCCAAACTTCACAAAGATGTCAGAGACCCGCCATCAATAATTCTCTCACAGAAGCACAAGGGCCAAATGTCCCACGTTTATTTACATATGAAATGTGTTTCATACAGTTATGATGGATGGAGTGCATAACACCTGACAGCAGCAAGACCTTTCGAGGAACCGAACGTTGACTACAGTATATCATGCAAGTATCTATATATACACAAAAGAATTCCTTTTCTTAAAAAAAAAAAAAAAGTACAAAACTTGTTCAGGGATAAATACAAGATACAAAATGCAAAAGAAAACACAAAACAAAACCAAAAAATAGAACTCTCTCAGAGAACTATAAACGGAAGGGACGGAAGAGTACCTCTGCTGCATTTTAATAAAGCAGAACTACCGACATTAAATATACTTCTTGAAATGGCTGAACTAAACCCGGGTGGCTCAGTGCTTAAGGTAACGGCCAATTGCAATACACAGGCGGCTGCATTGATAAGTCGGTGGTTGAAGTTGTGCATCCCGACTCTAAGTACCAGAACGTTTGGCAGTAGCACCCAGAACAGGTTTGAGACAACTGCACTCCAGTGTGGACGTGCCTTTGTCTTCAGGCCATGCCGAAGGGTGTTTAAAGCAGTCTTGCAGGTCGCTCCTTTCCCAGCCGTGGATAAAAACTGAAGCTAGGAATCTAATAAGGAATGCTGATTTCCTCAGTTCCATTTTGAGGAATGGGGAAGGCTATTCTAAAGGAAAAAAATGGGATTTGTTTTCTCGGCAGATCTGCAAGGCTGGCTTTAAGAGCACAAGGAGGGAAAGTAACGAAAGGGCTGGACTACTATAAAAGTTACAAATACGTAGTTAGACCAATAGATTTATATAGTCAGGTTTTTGTCATGTAATTTATTAACTATTACAGAAACACAACTAAGAATATCAAGTATTTCTCTGGCTCTTGACAGAAAAAAATCAGTTGACTTAACCCTTTGCTGTCAAAAGAGTTGGCGTTTCCTATAATAGTGAATTTCAATCAGTTTCTTTGTAGTGGTATAGATCTGGATGAAGATAGTGTCTACTCGGGGTTGGAAGTAGGGTAAAGCTAATGAGGTGACCACCCCAGGAACAACATTTAAGGGTTGCTAAAAGTCTCCATAATCAAGATCAATATTTTAACACAATATTAAAAAAAACAAGTTAATGAAAAATAATTAAGGAAAAACAAAATATCAAATTTTAAAATAAAGACAGAATCAGTTTGGTGATCACTATAAGGGAATATTTATCAAGCAGCCTCCTATAATAAAAATATGACATGGCTATATCTTGGTATGATGGGATGTGTATCTTCTAAAGGATGATTCAGAAACAAAGTGGAAAATTAAGAGGGTTGAGGAGGGGACTTGAGAGGAACAGACAGCTTGGTGCTGCTCAGTGTCTGATTTGAACTTATAAAATGGAGAATTAACAAGGAGAGGTTGGAGCCTCAAGGATAACTCTTGGACAAGCAAAGTCAGTAAGTCAGAGAGGAGACACTGTAAAGCAAAACTCCTGAAAGACAAGGAATTGTTCTGTATGTCTATAAATATTTTTTTTGGGGGGTGGTATTATTAATAATACCAATGAAAACTTAATTTAGAAAATATAGTTTGAAAGAAAAGGCAGCAATGAAAGCTTGAATTTTAGCTCTGTGTCATTCATTAGTAGCAATAACAGTAGTTCTCATTTTATAAAGTTGCTCTAGGAATTGCATGAATGACTAATATACATTTACAGTATTACCACAATAAACTGTCACATGCAATAACATAGTTACATTTCTTTTTTTAAACTTTCACTTAAAGGTCAGGGTACAAGTGTAGTTTGTTACGTAGGTAAACTTGTGTCATGGGGGTTTATTGTGCAGATTATTTTATCACCCATGTATTAAGTCTAGTACCCAGTTTCCTCAAATATTGCCTCTTTTTAAGTGTCTCTGCTAAACTTCTTAGTTTTTCTTTAAAGGTAACTATCATTAATCTTGGTCACATTATTTTCCATCACTCTTAACTTTTCTCACTAGTCATTCATATAATGTAATCTATGAACATCCACTTGCTCTTTGGCATACTTATTAAGAGCCTTCTGATCTTTTCTCAAGGCTGTGGGATTCTACTATTCCTGAATTTTCCCCCTTCACCATCCTGGATCTTCTTTCCTCTCTCTGTATTTGATTCCTGTTCCTCAATTTTATCATTTTAGCACAACGTACATACAATGCTTGACAGAACTAAAAAAAAACTATTCTAAATTTTATATGGAACCAAAAAAAGAGCCCGAATAGCCAATGCAATCCTAAGCAAAAAGAACAAAGCTGGAGGAATCACATTGACTCACTTCAAACTATACTGCAGGACTATAGTAACCAAAACAGTACGGTACTGGTACAAAAACAGACACATAGAACAATGGTAAAATAATAGAGAACCCAGAAATTAAGCCATATTCATATAACCATCTGATCTTTGACAGAGCTGACAAAAACAAGCAATGGAGATAGGACTATATATTCAATAACTGGTGCTGGGAAAACTGGCTACCTGTATGCAGATGACTGAAACAGGACCTCTTCCTTACACCCTATATAAAAATCAACTCAAAATGGATTAATGATCTAAATGTAAAATCTACAACTATAAAACACTGGAAGACAAACTAAAAATAACGTTTTGGACACAGGAACTGGCAAAGATTTCATGATGTAAATGCCAAAAGCAATTGCAATTAAAGCAAACATTGACACATGAAACCTAATCAAACCTAATCAAACCAAATCAAACCAAAGAGCTTCTGCATAGTAAAATAAACTATCTTCAGAGTAAACAGGCAACCTACAGAATGGGAGAAAATATTTGCAAACTATACATCTGACAAGTGTCTAATATCCAGAATCTACAAGGAACTTAAACAAACATAAAAGCAAAAAACGAACAACCTCATTAAAAAGTGGGCAAAGGAGACATGAACAGACACTTTTCAAAAGAAGACATACATAAGGCCAACAAGCCTATGAAAAAATGTTCAATATCACTAATCACTAAAGAAATGCAAATCAAAACCACAATGAGATACCATCTCAGGCCTGTCAAAATGGCTACTATTAAGAAGTCAGAAAATAACAGATGCTGGTGAAGTCGGGGAGAGAAAGAAATGCTTATACAATGCTGGTGGGATTGTAAATTAGTTCAACCATTGTGGAAAGCAGTGTGGGGATTCTTCAAAGAATTAAAAACAGAATTTCCCTTTTGCCATTTGACCCAGTAATCCCACTCTAGTTATATACCTAAAGGAATATAAATCATTCTACCATAAAGACACATGCATGCCTAGGTTCATTGCAGAACTATTCATGAATCAACCTAAATTCCCATCAACAGTAGACTGGATAAAAAAACATGTGGTGCATATTCACCACGGAATACTATGCAGCCATAAGAAATAACAAAATTATGTCCTTTGCAGAAACATGGATGGAACTTGAGGCCATTATCCTTCACGAACTAACACATAAACAGAAAACTCAATACCTTAATACCACGTGTTCTCACTTACAAGTGGGAGCTAAATGATGAGAACACTTGGACAGAAAGAGGCGAACAACAGAAACTTGGGCCTACTTGTGATTGGAGGGTGGGAGCAGGGAAGGGTCTTGGAAAAAAAATCTGTTGGGTACTATGCTACTATGCTTAGTACCTGAAAGATGAAATAATCTGTACGCCAAACCCCTGAGACATGAGTTTACCTGTAAAACAAACCTGCGCATATATCCCTGAACCCAAAATAAAAGTTAAAATATTTTAAAATAAATAAATATTAATAAAAATATTTGAAATAGTGTGATAGGAAATAAATCCTAGTGACTTTACATATCTTGTCTCCAATTTTTTCACTTCCTTAATTTTTTGTTTTAGTATATACTTTCATATTGAACACGAGTTTCCTTTTGAATTTTTAGAACATTATGCAACTGACTTCCATCTTCTAGAGTTGCTACTGACAACACCAATTCTATTCTGATCCTCACTTTCATATTAAACCTTTGTTTTCCTCCTCTCTGAAAAGGTGTTAGGTCATATTTATCAACTAGGTATCTTGAAACTTTCTGGCAATATGTATTTATTTTTCAATGTACTTATGAATCTTTCCAGTTTGAAGATGTGTAAAATATTTTTCTGTATTATTTGGTGTGAATTTTTTCTATCTCTTGTTTGTCTTACACTAAGTTACAGCCTTCTGTGTTTCTTCTATTTTCCCATATATTTTTATTCTTTTTGAATTATTTTTGATATCTTTTTAGTCTATATTTAATTTTCAGAGAAGATTTCTTAATGTTTCAAAACATTACCTTGTTCTTGAAATCTATTGCATTTCTTTTCTTTTCTTTTCTTTTCTTTTTTTTTTTTTTTTTTGTGAGGCAGATTGTCGCTCTGTCACCCAGGCTGGAGTGCAGTGGCGCGTTCTTGGCTCACTGCAACCTCCACCTCCCAGGTTCAAGCAATTCTCCTGCCTCAGCCTCCTGAGTACCAAGTAGCTGGGATTACAGGTGTGTGCGACCACATCTGGCTAATTTTTTTGTATTTTTAGTAGAGACAGGGTTTCACCGTGTTCACCGTGTTAGCCAGGATGGTATCTATCTCCTGACCTTGTGATCCACCAGACTCGGCCTCCCAAAGTGCTGGGATCACAGGTGTGAGCCACTGTGCCAGGCCTATGTTCATATTTTTAAGAATGTATTCTTGTTTTCCGAAAATTTTTATTAAAATGTCATCTTTTTGTTCCATGTCCATAATACCTCCAATTTACATATGGTGATTGACTGTTATTTTATTGATTCTTTTATTTTTTGATGCCGCCTTTTGGTCATTATTATACACCTTTTCAGCCAATGTTTATTTAGCTTTGTCAATATGTGCATCACCTTCTATTATTTCACCTTTTCTTCTCAATTTTACTTTCTTCTACCTGAAATTCATTCTTGATTTTGCCAATAAGAGTTTGCAAGAGGAAGGCTTACTCAGTTTTTCTTTTGTAATGTTTTGCTTTGTTTTCTAGAATGTTAATTTTTGTCCTTATCTTATTTATTCTTGATTGATGATGGTTTTGTTGAGCTTAGATTATGAGGTTGATAATTGTTTGTATTTAGCACTTGGGATCTATTTTTTCTTTATCTTGTATCCTCTATTTTATTGATGAGAAAAACATTATCATTCCACTCTTTATGTCTTTGAAAGAATCTACCTTTTCTACTATTTTTTCTAATAGTTTTCTAAGTATATTTGAATGCATGTTCACTATGATTTGTCTGTTTATTAATATAGCTTCCTCCCTCATATAGGCATTAAATAGGCATTAAAATCTCTTAATATAGGTATTAAAAATCCTTAATATAGGCATTAAAATCCCAAAATCCTGTCCATAAGTCATATATCTGTGTTTAAAACTTCCATAAATACCTGCAATATTATCTCTTGTTTTTTTAGTGTCTTGCTTAATTCTTAGCATCTAGAACTTCTTTCTTTTAAATTCAGCCATATTTTGCTGTATCTATTCATAATCATATTACATTTAACATCTATGTTTCTTAGTAGCCATTCTTATCAAATCTATGTGTCATATTGCTTGAAGTTGAACCTGCTTTACAAGGCCATGCTAATTTTTAAAAAATTCCCACAGATGCTTTTGTGCAATATTGAAATTCTCACTAGCTTCTTTCTTCTCTGAAATGCCAAACTATTTATATGCCCCATGCAACCAAACATCGGATTGCATGTTACATGTTTTTCCTAGGAGTATTTGTATATGTATGACCTTTTTTGTTTTATCATAAACAATGTAAACTGTGTTCAAAGCAAGACATACCTTAATTCTAAATCCAATGTGACAATGAACTAGTCTTATAATAGATTTGGATTCTTAATCAAGGAAGTCTGACAAACCATATAAACTAAAAGTAAAGTATTATGCCTTATAGAAATTCAAGTTCATGAAGTACATTCATCTTCGCAACAATCTTGGGAGCCATATTTCATCATTTCATTTTACATATTAAGCACCTAAGGCTTGAGAAAGTATAGGTCCAAAGTCACACAGTTAAATCACAGTAGAGAAAGGGGTCAAGTTCATTTCTTCTGCTTAGTAGAGTATCTTTACTACTGTTTTATATTTCATATGCTGTTTCCTTGCTTGAAAATTGGGGCTTCTGTGAGATTCAAGGAAGGCTATGCATGTGCCTTTGCTGCGTAAACTGCCAGGCGCTGCATAACTGAAAACCAAGGATGGCTATAATGCCAAGCAGCAGAATCCCTCCTCGACGGAGAGGACCCAAGCCTTTTATACCTTGGTTAATTACCATGGTGGCCATCTTGTCTTGACCAGGTTCCCTTGAAAGGATTTTAATGGAAGGGTAAAGCACTCAGAAAATCTGAGTAGGAGATCAACTCTTTCCATAGCATCATCTCCCCAACAAAGAGCTTGTCTTACTTGTTCATCTAAAAGGAAATAAACATATCGTGTCTCCTATCCTTAGCATTTTTGTTCCCTTGTCCAGAAGTGTGTCTCATCCTGTCAGTCTTGATACCTGTAGGATTTTATAGCTCTCTCTTCTAGGCTTGATGCTGCCTTTGTTATGATTCTTCTTCTAGCCAGGTCTCTACTGTGGCAGTGAAAGAGGGAACTGAGGTTATTTGGCAGTGAAAGAGGGAACTGAGGTTATTAGCCAGCTCATTCCAGGCAGAAACATCTCTCCCACACTTGGCTGGAATAGCTATATAAGCCCTTTATCGTTAGAAAAACAGAAAACCATTTAAAACTGAAGTGCAATTAGAGCCAATGTACTTCAAAGCAAGTGTATTTACATGTAGGCTAATTAAAGAAATCTTTAAAGAATTCAACATTACAGATGGTACACTGGGGAAAATGTATATTTGGTTATATCCTTCTTTCTCTCTCAATGCTAAATTGTACAATAAGCACATATTCATTTATAGAATTCTCTCAAGTTGTTATGGCAACTGAAATTTAGGGTCAGACAGAAAATGCATTGTTGCCATTGTTCTCTGAGCCTAAAGAAAAAGAGTTTTAAAATCTGGTATGAACTTTGAACATCACAGAAAAAGAGGAAGTTTACTTTTGTTGCCTGTGATTCCATATCTAGATTTCAGTCTCTTCTCTGACAAACTTCATTATGTCTTAAACTTCAGTTTCTTTCCAAATAATCTTGTTCCACATAAATAATTGAATATCAAGTAATTTAGAGTTATTTTTTATGAATTAATGTCATTTTTGTTATGTCTAGTGAAAATTTATTTACTTACGTTTTATTTAGATAATGTTGCAGGGATTGATACAAACCCTATTTAATGATCTTTGACATATTTCAGATTAGTTTTCATATCTATAAAATGGGTTTGATAAAACAAGGCCCCTTAGAAGCCTATAATAATAAAAACACATAGGAGAAAACTCTTCAAAAATAGTAATTTATAAGGGTATTTTCATATGCATTTCAAAACTTTCATTTATTCATCCAGAAAATGTGGATAATGCATTTAATATGTGCAAATACACACTAAGAAAAGGCAAAATAAAATAAAATTTAGTGTTTGTCCTCAGGAACTCACCTGTTAGGCAGTAACCTCGATAAGCTGAAGTTCTGGCCAAGGGTGAAGAAAATATTAAATAGATTGCAATAGGAAAATAATGAATTTCAATTTTAGCCTTTATCAGCAGAGACTATAGCTTGTTTTATTAAGCTGCCTAAACTAATAAGAAATCAGTCTTATTGTCAAAGTGTATACAGAGTACTATGAAAATTCACAGAAAAGACTATCATCCTTTAGTAAGGAAGAGGTATCTGATTTTTCTCTTGGCCTGCTCCTATTTTCTTGGCCTCAACTCTAATTCTAGCTGTGCTACGGCTGTGGCACACAGGTCCATGGTGGGGTCGGCTTATTTCTCACAGAAAGCTTCCCACTTCAAGCCCACAATCTGTTTCTCCAGCATGCTGACACAGGGCATCTGTGACACCATAGCTGGGGAAATGCATAGAATCTTGCTCAGACATACACACATACACAGCCAGAAGTTCAGGAGTTGCCCTGGAGCAACCCTGAAACAACAGGGTCAGGAGAGGATAGCTGAATTGTCTTTCCCTGTTAGAGTCCCTCATGCCTTCTTTTTGATATTGACTCTCAAATAAACCGCATGCATAACTATATTGACTCAGGCTGTGCTTACAGAGAGAGTCTGGGTTAAGGCAACTGCCCTAGGAGTAGACTTTGAAAGCCAGTCCCCAGGAGGGATCCTACAACTGGATCAATCACCCATGAGATGACGAGAATCTCATTGTTATTAATAAGAGGAGATGGAGATAACAGAATTTGCACCTTTTACCATTGAAACAACTAAAACTCTCATTTGGTAATGTGGCAGAACTGGAATGTGCTTCATGAAGAAGGAGGCAGAACTGAGTTGTGTCATAGCTCTATCCTTTCAATGGCATAATGTTATGATAATCATTAGGCTTTGAGATTATCCAGCTTGGATGTGCTGCATGGGAAGCCTTGCAAAAAAGAAGATGAAAGGCTCAGGTTAGGCAACCGTCATCTTCATGCACTCCAAAAACCCACAGAGTCTACAAGGAATTGTTTAAAGATAGTTTATATATAAAGAAACTCTTATCTCCTGTATCTGCAGGCAAGAATGTATTGAAAATGAGACTTAACTTCTATTTGATAATGATGGAATGATTGTTGAAAGTCTTAGCTAACAACCAGTCTGAAAATGACCAGCAAAAGTGGTGTCTATCTTACAGGATCAGGTACATATGCAGTAAGTCAATAGCTGACATATAGCGTGCTCTCACTAACAAATAGGGCAGATGGATGCAGGACCCAAAGGGCCAATGCAGCATCAGCTTCACTTCCATCACTTTCAGTGTTCCACATGTGGAGAGTCTACTATTCTTCCCCACAACCTTAGACTCTGCTGGTTTGAAGTCATAGCACACAGCATCAATATCAGGTTACTTTAGGCTTCTCATGCCTGTGAATCAACTGACAAAGGAAGTTTTATAATGAAATGGGTCATAGAACATGAGGAACCGGGGGTTCTGCTCCAGAGTCACAACATGGGTGTGTGTCTGTCACCAAGGATGTCCTTTGTGCCCTTCTTCCCCGTGATAATGGCAAGTGGGCAACTACTGCAATTGAGACCTGCGAGAACAAGGCTAGGATATTAGTTTCATCAGGAATGGGGTCTTTGTCACCCATTAGGCAGGTAGCCCAGAGAAGCTGAAGTTCTGGCCAAAGGTGAAGGAAATATAAAATAGGTTGTAATAGGGAAATAATTTCAATTTTAGCCTTTATCAGTGGCTGAAGCTTGTTTTATTAAGCTGCCCATATTAGATCTTTTTTACAGACTTGTAGCTGTCAAACTTTGATGACTCGGTAATATATTAGACAACGTAGGACACACACAAACAATGCAAAGGTAGACTATTAGACGCCTCTTATGCATAATGTCACATCCTCATCCAGGACTTGCAATAATTCCATCTGTGGCTAGAGCAAATGGTCCTGTACAGGCTTTAGACCACATTGCACTGACAGTGTTACACCTTAAGCTTGTATCTCACATCTTTTGTTTACTTCCTGGGCCTTCTTTGCCATTATGGACATCAGTATGATGGCCTTGGCATTCATTCACAACAGCTAAGCGTTACAGAGACAATCCTTACCAATGGGGCACAGGAGACAACAGACAAATAAATGTCTCTGCCTGTCATTCCTGGAAGACAATTTGGGGTAAAATTCTACACATTACTAGAAGATACTGCTCAGCTCAAGACTCTGTTAGAAGAGCGCTGACCATATCAGCACATTTCTAATTTTTTTTAACCTTATCTAGATCAGTGAACTCCTACTCCCTAAGATCACCACCCAAATAAACTACACAAAGTCTCCTATCTTATCAATGGCTCCACTCTCCACTCCACGGAAAAGTAAGATGAAAAGTGTCATAAAATTGTGGCAATGATTCCTAAGGAATGCAAAAGAGATGTCCAAGTTTTTGAGCAGAAATGAGAAGGGAGTTGGGACATCATGCTCATAAACAGACAAGAATAAAAGAATTTATCCAACATAAAAAAAGTCATCAGTAACAGAGAAGCTTACTTTAGAGAGACAATTCTCACTTTAGAGAGACAATTCTCCACCTGTATTAAAAAGTAGAATTAGTAGTGTTGTCAATGTATGCATTTAGATTAGTTCTTCACTATTGTAGCAGGCACAGCTCCAATGAGGGAGTTGTGTACAGTTTATATGAGTGTCAATATATTAAATTATTGTAAGGGCCAGTAGGTGATATAAAGGGTTGTTTTTGTCTAGTTGGAGATTCTAATTAAATGAAGACCACATGTCATTCTAACGTGGGCTGCGTTATTCAGCTTAAGCTGGTAGCCATGTGGAAGAACAGGCAGATATGTCAGACCTGGGAAGTACTTTTCTTATGTAATTAGAAAAAAATTAAATTAGTTGTGGAAATTTAAGAATATTTACAGAAATAATTTTGCTGAAAGATACAACCAATAATATGGCTGTGTGCAAATATATATATATATAGTTATATAGAAATATAGTTATAACTATAGAAGTATAGTTATAAAATCTAAAAATAAAAAATGTAAAGTATAAAATGACAGTAATAATAAATATTCAAGCTTCACATTGACAGAAATAAATTAATCAACTTACATAAAATCCCTGGCACAAGTCTTTGGACAAAGATAATTGGTATTAATAATATTATCCATATCCAAATAGTTATTAGTTGTTATTCTTATTTCAAAATTTTGCCCCTGTGGTTAACATAGCTACCAATTTCACTTAGTTGCTTAACAAATCTTTATTGAGACCTGTCATGTGATTACTTATCCATCATAAATTTATACAAATAGTCAGTTGCTCTTCTTTCCTTCTTTCCTTTTTTCATTTTTTCTTCCTCCTATCCTCCTTTCTCAAATGGACAAGCTCTGCATTTTCCAGTATCTACCTTTAGGTTATGGCACTATTCAGTAAGTTCAGAAAGGTATTATTTCACCTAAGGGTTCTGGTTCAGGAGTCGTTAGTGAAATGTCACAATAACAAAGACAAGTCAATGCAGTTTGCAGTCTTATTAAATTGATATCAGTTTAGAAGAATAAACTTAATTAGTAGAATAAATTAACTGCAAACTTTAATCTGTTAATGTTGAATTTTTTTTAACTTCAATATGTAGTTAGAGGCTTCTTTTCATATAGTGCTCGGAATTTAGATACATTAACCAGCTTTTCAGCAAATGTCACTTACCATAAGTTAGTTATTGTTTGTTTGTTTTTTGGGTATGTCAATTATATGTAAACATGGGGAAGCATTTCTAATTAATGTATTCATCAAATGTTATTTGTTTTAAAATAATTTTATTGTCCTTCATTACTAGGTTCTAAAATTGATATGATACTGAGATACTTAACTGTTAACTGTTGACATAGTTGATTATGTAGTTTTTTTATTCAAAATGCTTGGAACAAGAAGTGTTTTGAATTTGGAATTTTTCTATGTTTTGGAATATTTGCATATACATAATAAGATATCTTTGGAGTGGGATCCAAGTCTGAACAGGAAATTTATTTTTGTTTCCTATACATCTTATATACATAGACTGAAGGTAATTTTATGCAATAGCCTAAATAACTTTGTGCATGAAACATAGTTTGTGTACATTGAACCATCAGAAACTAAAGGTCTCACTATCTTTGCCACCCATAGGGACAATCTGTGGTTGTTTGGCATCACTGTAATTCCTGATGCTGAATTTCTATGCTATCAATAAGCAATCATTTTCTTACATATATTTATGCATTAAGAACCTAACAGTAAAAAAAAATGACATACCATTAACGCATTGAAAAAATAATGTGTCAAGGGTAACTAAGCACACAGTAACATCACCAGGATACCATATAAGCTGCTAAACAACAGCAACAACAAACAATGGCTGGCTATCAGTCTCCACCTGTGTTTCCGTGTTTTGATTAAAAGGTTCATTGCATTTTCTTGGGGGAAAAGAAACATCTGAAGCAGTTGAGGGACCAGAGAGTGAGTCCTCGAGGGATGAGGAGGCATTTTGTTGGATGGCTTTTTAAAATGTTTCCTCCAGAGTCATCTGCATCATTAATGTTTTCGTCCTAAAAGTCTCTCCGTGATTTTATAATCTATTGTGATTTCTTGTTCTGTTATGAACAATTCCTCCTCTAGTCTCTCAGTAAGTCCATCACACGTTTTCACCATGTCATCAATAGGCACTTTTTCTGCAGTGTTAACATCATCTTCATTATCACTATTATCAACATCACCTTGATTCAGAGCCATTTTTGATATTTTACCATCAGTCAATGAATGAACAACTGGAGCCTCATTATTGATATTAAAAACTGCTTCAAGATCTACTTCTTCCAGTTTACCAATGGACTCTGAAAGTATAATTTTTTGCATATATAAGGAGTGCAGGCTTTTTCTTTACTTGACGTATGCAATCTCTTAAGGTCACCACCTTGCTCATCATCATCACTGAACATAGTTGCAGGTCAGAGGCTGTGCCAGGCATGTACAACTGTGTCTTCTGTCACTGTGTTCCAAGCATGTAGCATCATATATGCTAAAGTCCTTTTGAGAACCTTCCACACCAACACTTTTGTTCACTGCTACAATGCTGTTCAAGAAAGTGCTTTTGTATTTACTCTTCATCAATCTAAGGATAGCCTGGTCACATGGCTGAATTAATGAAGTCACATTTGAGGGAAAGTTTGTGACATAGCATTTCTTTTTATTAAAAATTCTGCTGCAGAAGGAGCAGAATAGTCACCAAAAAATAATAAAATAATGCAACCTTTATCTAGTCCTGCTTTCCTTCATTGAGTATAAGACACTGGTAAAAAGTATTTGTGAAACCAATTGGAAAAGAATAAGAATGAACTGGTAAAAGAATTACTCCTTGAAAACAGGGAGGATGCGTGCTTTTGCCCATCACAGCAAGTTTACAGTTACTCACGCCTGCTGCATTAGCACATTCTCCACAGTTGTTCTGTCCTTGATATTCTTAATTTCTATAGGAGCTGTCTCATCAGCTGTAGTCAATGACTTTCTAGGGCAACACCACCACAACCATGATGTTTCATCAGCATTGTAGATTTACTCTGGTGTCCTATTTTTATCAGTGATAGCCTTGGTGAACTTATCAATTAATTTCTCTGCTCTTTCATGATCAGCAGATGCTTTAAAACAAAACATATCTAAAAATCTAATGCTGCATTATTTCTGATAGTTCTGCAATCAGCGTGTTCAATATTTACTTTTTCTCTCGGTTTCAGTTCATCATGACAGATCTTTGATTGTTTCATGATCAGCATACCTTTAAGTGGCATCTCTTTACTGTAATTCTGATGAATCCACTCTTTAAAAACATGATCAAAATCTTCATTGTTATCTTTCTGCAATGGCTTATGTTCTATTTTTCATTAACTTCTGTTCATCATTTTCAGCATATAATGTCAACAATTTATCTTTCTGTTTCTTTAGGTCATGTACGATGGTCATTCCAACACCATGCACTTCTGCATGACGTTTTCCACTTACACCACTGTCCAGTTTCTCCAACAGCTTGACTTTCTGTGCTATAGATAAGCATAAATGCTTCCACTTTTTCTTAATACTTTTACCCATAGGAATATGTATAGGCCTTTTTTTTTTTTTTTGAGACACAGTTTCCTTCTTGTCACCCAGGATGGAGTGCAGTCGTGTGATCTCGGCTCACTGCAACCTCCACGTCCCAGATTCAAGCAATTCTCTTGCCTCAGCCTCCCAAGTAGCTGCGACTACAGGCACCTGCCACAGCGCCCAGCTAATTTTTTTGTTTTTAGTAGAGACAGGGTTTCCACCATGTTGGCCAGGCTGGTCTTGAATTCCTGACCTCAGGTGATCCACCCACCTCAGCCTCCCAAAGTGCTGGAATAATAGGAGTGAGCCAGCAAGCCTGGCCTTTTTTGAAATTTTCAACAAAATTATTACATTGCAGAGCAGAGAATAATAATAATAAAAAAAAAACACAAACACAGTAATTAATGGATGTAGGTCTTGGCCCCATTTGGAGCATTGTGAGGAACCTGCTGTTGGCACAGCCACCCTGTACATGTGCTATTTTATTGCACTTTGTGTTTATGTGGAATAATCTGGGCATAAGTAAATAATATATATTACAGCTGAAGCGGGCTAAGAAGGTTCTCACTCTTGGGAATGCTGAATAAATCATGTGTTGTGGACCTGCATTTTGACTGCAGCCCATCACATGAGGTCACATATGAAATTTTCCACTGTGGCATAATTTCAGTGCTTAAAAAGTTTCAGATTTTGGAGTACTATATTTCAAATTTTGGATTTTCCTATTTGGGATGATCAACCTGTAAAAGGTAGTAAACTATACCTTCTTAGGAAATGTTCCAAATTTCAACATCACTCATTTACCGGTCTAATATGTTGGCATTATTAAACAAAAAAAAAATATTTTCTTCATCTGTACACATGCTATAGATGATCAAGGTAAGCATACATGATCATTTTCTCCCAAAGGTCTGATGAGACAGTTTTGCTCATACTCCTCAAACAGTCTGTTTTTGCCTTTGTTCATGTTTTTTTGGGGAGGTCCAGAGTTTTCATCTTTTGTGTTAAATTAGTCACTCAACGGAAGTGGCCAACAAAGTTTTGAGCTTCTCTATGTTTTCAGTATTGCACTGAGTGCTAGAGAATAAAAGCTAAATAAGGAAATGTTCTTGTTCTGAACAGCCCCATTGATTAAAATAATGTAAAATAATTTTTCAACTGTCTACACTTCCAAAATATATACATAAGTAGTAATGTGAAAGTTTTAAAACTTTTCTTGAGGATGAGGCTAAGTTTCATAAGAACTTTGGTGTCATATTAAATAAGATTATTGAGTTTATTAAATGAATAGTGAAATGATGTGAGTTGAGACAGAAAAGACACAACATGAACACCAAATATTTAAATACACCTGTACTTTTAAAATGTTATAGTTTTAGGAGCTTCAAATTCTTTTGTCAGGGATCAACAATAGTGTAACAGTAAAAACTGTGTGCTTTGCTGGTGATCCTGATTCCAAAATCAATGCAAGTCATTAAAAATATTAAGCATGAAAATTATATGGTCAGATTTGCAGTTTAGCAATAGCACTCTGCCATCAATGTGGGAGATAAAGAATGGTGAAAACTGAAACACAGATAACAGTTATGGAACATTGCAACAATGCAGAAAAATAGTATTTTCAGCCAAAATCTTGGTAATTGGTGCAAATATGAGGTAGATAGGAACTATCTTAAGCAAAATGAATTATTAGGGGTTACTGCCTGGTTATATAAAGGGATTAAATATTTCTGGTAGTGTTAATAATAGGACAGTAATTAAAATAGGTAAAAAGAAAGTAGCATGAGTAGGGGGAATGTAAAATAAGTTAATTTCTGAGCCTGCTAATACAGAAGGATCTGAGGGGCAACCTGGTGGGGAGTCTGGTAAACAATGGGATAGACTTATTGAACGGTATAGCTTAGACTGCAGTTCTAGGAATGTGGCATACATTTGCAAGTTATCCATTCATGCAGGTGGTAGAAGTGGTGGGCATAGATGAGCCCTGTATAAACAAGAACATTTTATTGGGAAGCTAAAAAAAAATGCAACTCAAAGAAGGGAACATAGAGAAGTCAAAGGACCCATAGTTGGAGACATAGAAGAATTTGAACCTCTGTGCTGTCTCCCAAATCTTCCCCATGAGAATCACTCTCTTTCCTTGGCATCCAACAATAATTACATGCCAATAGAAGCATTATTATCTTTAATTCTAATCTTGAATTATAGATGCTTATTGCTTGCCTTATCTGCTTTACCATTTTGTAATACAGGGGAAAAGAGATGGGGGCAAGATTTGTGACTAGTGACTGGTTTTGTTTGTTTGTTTGTTGTTGTTGTTTAGTTTTCCAGAGTGTTTCACACATTGCTTTTAATAATTGTGGCTGCTCACTGAACATGTTTCAAATTTACATATCATTGAGTAAACTACTCTTAGATAATGTAAAAAAATAGAACCCAAGCAAAGAGAAAATGGGCCAACTGGAGCATCAAGAAGGAAGGTGACTTTCAAGGAGAATTCTGGAATAGATATTTGAACAAGGCCATAGACCGCATTTCCACGAGGAGCAAAGGGGAGGGTATATTCCAATGTCTGGGAACTGAGAGCATGAGCACCTGGTGCTGAAAGTACAGACAAATAAAATGGCTGGTGCACTGTTCCTCAAAGAAGTTCACATCTGGGTGTAAGAATAAAGAAACACCCTGGGAGGCAGAGCTTGCAGTGAGCCGAGATCGCACCACTGCACTCCAGCCTGGGGGACAGAGCGAGACTCTGTCTCCAAAAAAAAAAAAAAAAAAAAAAAAAAAAAAGAAACATCCAAGAGTGGAAAAGAAAGACTACTCTATTGAGTGTTCTATTATAAGACACAGATTATATGTACCAGAGAATCAGGAGAGAAAGATAGAACATTTTTTACAAAATCTCTTACGAATAATTGTGTGTGCATGTATGCGAGTTTGTCTATGTGTGAATATGAACTCAGTTTTATACAAAGGAATTTTGCATAAACTGTAATTTTTGACCTCACTCCTGTGACATCTTTTTATTATGGTTGAGGGATGTATACAGTAAAGAGTAAAGTCCAGAGAGGAAGTCACTTGTTCAAAATCACAAATCTAATAAATTTTAAATCCAGAATAAATATCATAGATATTGCACTCCCAAACCAGTTCTCTAAAAAGTGTTTTCTACCACAATGCTCTAATAACTAGCAGGCTGGCTCTGAAGCATCTCCCTACAAGTTATCTGCTAGAAATTCCTTTGCATGGCTGTCTCCTAATAATCTGGTAGGGGAGAGTGTCAATGAAAAGACATATGGCCAATTGAGGGAGTTAGCTGATAACAACAGTTTGACTGATGATGGAAGCCTCCTGCAGCTCTTGTGCTTCTCTTGGGTTGCACTGTAGGTGGAAGAAGACTGCTGTAATTGATGCCACATGCTTAATAAAGGCATAGCTTAGCTCAGAGTAGCACTAGGAGCTGTACTGAATCTGTTTAGAAAGGACCTCCTGTATGCCACCCTTGTTGGCTCCCTAGCTCAGCCTGGCTTGGAAGACATTGTAGACATCTATTATTCTGTTACTGTCAGCCTAGCTGCTGCCAAGTTGTACAATCTATCACATCCCAGATATTTTCTTGCTGTTCAAAGGAACATCAGATTTTAGAGCCAGAGATTACTTGTACAATTATCAAATTCTCTTAATTCACTGATAGGGAAACTGAGACCCAAACCTGTTTCCTGGACTCTGTAGCTCACACGTGACGTGTGTTGTTAATGAAAAAGCTATGTTGGTATTCATAAAGTATTTATGTTTGAAACAGTCGCAAGTGTAATTTTTAAAAACTGCCTTCTGTATATAATATTTCCTCTTAAAGAAAAAAGGCTCTGAAAGACAGTCAGAGGCTCTATTTCAATTCAATTTAATATATTTAATTGAATATCTATCATGTGCCAAACAATTTTCCTTATCACTGGCGATTCATAGATAAAATATGCTGACCAGTAATGAGAACCCCATCAAGAACCAAGAACTGCCTGACCTTTAAGGGATGGCAGAGTTAGACAAATGCATGAATTTTACAAAACTCTGTGACACTACAGGTGAGAAAGAAAAACACATTAATTTTGAAAACTTATACTTGATTATACATGACTTAACACAAAATCATACATAAGACACTGAACACTTTTCTAGTCCACCATGATACAATATATCTCGACATCAAACCTAAATCACCTTAAAAACAGGGGGATATATTTTCTGAATAAAAAGTTTCAGTTCCATCTTTTATTTTAAATTTGGATCACTTATGCAGAAGGCATCTGATAAACACTTTATGTGCCAAAGATTGGTATAAGCAAATGACAGCACTTCAACAGAAACGTTACAATGAATGAACACAAAACGCTCTGTTTGTATATGGAGAAAAAAAGAAAGAATATTTCATTTACATTTTATTCTGCCAAATAGGCTGCATGTCTCTAAAAAACACAAACACATGACTAGAAGAAAGTGTTGGTTGGATGAACTTTCCATTTAAGACAAAGTATAAATATTTGCACTTAAGGAAAAAAATACACTGATCATTGAAAAATCAGAAATGATGTAAATTGTATTTATAATAAGAAAAGTAGTTTTGAATCTTTACTCAGGGTCATAAAGGCATTTTTGTAATAGGAATAGAAATTCTGATTTGGGCAGAAGAGTTTTATCAGGCTATGATTCTGTTAATTTCTTCAGAATCCTTTCCAAAATGTAACAAATGATAACTGTTCATTTGGATAGGTCTAGGAATTTTTAACTTTCTAAACTTCTTTGTGAGCCATTTAAACAGCTTCTGACACATGGTAATTAAAGCTGAGCTCTCCTCAAAGACATAGTCCTCTATATTCTCTTGGAAATATAAGTGCTCATTAAGATGTTGTGAATTGAGTATGAAAAACCCCATACGTATTAATATTACCTTCTTTTCACCCATTCTTGGGTATTCTTCATCTAATTAGTTGACTAAGGATATGGATTTCAGATAATGTTTATTTGTTATTATTTCATGGAGACAATGCTTTATAGTGTTTTCCTCTTTTCAAAACATTTATTATTTTATTCCATGTAGCTTCATTAGATTTAACTTAGGAAAATTTTTATTTGTTTCACATATAAAAGTTCAAATTTTTATTATTTTTTTCTGTTAGACATTTTAATTCTATTTCTGAACCAAACAACACACAATATTGTTCAGGATTCCCTAGGATCTTTGAAGAAACAGAACCATGTTTCATTTTTCTCAACCTGAGATATTTGAGACTAACCCTAAACCTAATAAGAATCTTCACCAATGTCTATTTATTTTTTTAATAATCCCATGGTACCAAAAAATTTCCCCCTTTAAGATCCACATTTATGGGTAAATATAAGATTTTTTATGAATTTGGTATTATAATTCTGAGACTTTGGTTTAGGGGATTAAAATAATACTATTCGTTCTTTGCTATATTATTAATTAATACATACAAGTATGTTATTTCAGCTATGTAAATTCCAAATAAAATTATGTTTTGACATTAACTTCAATCAGATATCATTTTGGTGTTTTTGTTTTAATTTTTATTTATTTACTTGTTTATCTATACTGCTCTAAGAACATTTAACAGGAGTCTACCCTCTAAACAACTTTTAAGTATATAGATTTTTAAGTATATTGTTAACTATAGGCACAATATTATACAGTAGATCTCCAGAACTCATTCTTCTTGAAAAATCAATACTTCACACCAATCAAACAACAACTCTCAATTTTCCTCTTTCCCCATCTCTTGGCAATCAACATTCTACTCTCCACTTCTGGGAGTTTGACTATTACAGATGCTTCATGTAAGTGGAATCAGGCAGTATTTGTTCTTCTATGACTGGTTTATTTACCTTAAAATAATATCATTAAGGTTCATTCACATTATCACACGTCAGAAATCCTTCTCTTTTAAGGCTGAATAATGTTTCATTGTATGTATTTACCACATTTTCCTTATGCACTCATACACTGACGGATATTTAGTTTGGTTCCATATCTTGGCTATAGCGAATAATGCTGCGATAAACATGGGAGTGCAAAAATCTTTTTCAGATCCTGATTTTAATTTTTTAATGAATATTCAGAAATCAGAGTGCTGGATCATAAGTAGCTCTATTTTTAGTGTTTTGATAAAAATCCATACTGTTTACCACAGCAGCTGCACCATGTTACATTCCCCCACCAACAGTGTACAAGAGTCCCAATTTCTTCACATCCTTGCCAACTCTTATTTTCTTAACAATAGCCATCCTAACAGATGTGACATGATATTATTTGTGGCATTGATAAGTATTTCTCTGATAGTTAATGACGTTAAGCATCTTTTCATATACCCATTGGCTATTTGTATGTCTTCTTTAGAGAAATATCTGTTCAAATCCTTTGTCCATTTTTTGACCAGAGTTTTTTCCTTTTGGGTTGTACAAATTCCTTCTATATTTTGGACATGAACCCTGAACCGGGTATGAATATGTTTTGGAGCAAGTGTCTAGGTCTAGGTGAAAATGAAATAAGTCAAAATCTGTTTAACATTTTTATTTATTTGCAAGCATGTGGCTTTCTCTCTCAGACCTTGCAAATAATTTTATTCATTTGTAGACTCAATACATATACTTTCAGCAAACATTTATTAGGTATTTACAACATGCAAACTCTTATTGACACTATGACATTCAAGGATGTATGGCATGAAGGTTGTAATCTAAACTGTATTTCTCCTCCACACATGCATAGCTTGTTTGATAATTCATAGGGTGATCAGTAACTAAAAGTAGAATCAATGCAATAGAATTAAGACAATTAGCAAGTATGCACATCCCTATATACTTTTGTCAATAAGTTAGTTATAAATGTTATGAGGCAGTTTATGTGTCACAAAATTACAATGCACACATACATTATTAGATATAATACTTTTGCTCACCTAAAAGAGCATTCCTTCTCTCTTTTAAATCAGACCATTGAAATAATTTAAGGGAATTCTTGAAGGTCACACAAATAGTAAATTGTACAACCAGCTCTAAAGTCCAGATCCCTGAATTCCAAAAGGAGAGCTTTGCTGTGTGTCATGCAATGTTTCAGATTCACACCACAAAATTAGTGTGTGTGCACAGACTCTGTGAGCAACCACAAGATGGAAATGATTCTGGAAAGCTATGCTGAGCATTTATGCAGTTAGAACTTCTCTCATGGCCTGAGGAGTTAGGGAAGCTTCCAGAGGTTTCTCACTTCGAAATGAGAAAGAGCGTAAATAGCAGGAATGTTAGGTTTATATATGGCCAGTGCTGGAGCACACATATTCGAAGTGAATGAATCATGGAGTATTCAGTTGAACAGAAAGGGAAAAGGAAAAGTTCACTGAGGCATTTATTTCTTTTGAGTTCTTACTTTGTTTTACTTCCACCATGAAATATAATTCTTCTTTCGTATTTACTATGAACTTCCGATATGGCTAAATCTATTGCATTTGTTTCCTTTGTCATAATAACAATTTCCTTCCCTTTGTTTGTAATTCTCTTTGTTTATTTTCTCTTCATACAGTTTCTTCATGTATTTGCATCAATCCAAAAGCATTGAAGAGAAAAAGGAAAGTGATTATTGAATGGGAAGGGCTAGGCCACCAATCATGACTACAGCTTTTGTCTTTGCTATGTTGAAAACCAGTCAAGGCATTGGACTATATTTAAATTATTGAGTTGGTTTTGCTTTTGCAGGATAGTACTCAGGTACATAAATTAAAGCAGAAATATGGCTGTCCCTCATAGAAATTATATATTTTGTTTATTTTAAGGGATTATAATGCTGGATGGCTATTTATATTTGATGACATTTGACCTAAATGTATTTGTGGAGTAAACATAATTAATAGGAAATGTATTAGCAATAAATTGATTGCAGTATATGATTTTATTCTGGCTCATACATACATTTAGCTAACCTTCTTCTAGTCAACATATAGTCTATTGTCTTCTGCAAATAAGGAAAAATAACTACTCCATATAGGTAGATCTTGTAAAGTCCTAGCAGGGGCCTTTTCAAAAACCACTGAGATTTATAGGAAGTACATCACCCAAGGGAAGATAAGGCCTAGATATATAAGACTTAGTAGCTTGAATTTGAAGTAAAATCATTCAACGTTTTATTGTAGAATTTCTTTCTCGCCCAAGTTGTATAGACTTGCCGTGAACAAGAAAGGGAAGGGTGCAAACAAAAATAATAATAAAGAACAAGTGTTTAGGGGAATTCTTGAGGGTCACACAAATAGTAAATGGTACAACCAGGTCTAAATTCCAGATTCCTGAATTCCAAAAGGAGAGCTTCATTGTGTGTCATGCAATGTTTCTGATTCATACCATAAAATCAGTGTAAATATTTGGAACCTTTAAAAGTTAATATAAAAATATACATTATGATGAAAATTAAGACTGATAAAAATGAGCCAAGGATATGAGCAGAAAACTAAATGAAAGAAAATGCAAATGTAAATAAATAATAGAATTTGAAACAATGAATTATTTTTAGCTATAATACTGGGAAAGCTTTTAGAAATTGATGTTTAAGTAAATTATCATACACTTACTTATTTGTAGCTTTTTACATGGTGCTGATTTTGTGCTGGGCTCAGAAAAGAATATTGTACAGCCAGTGACAATGTGATTTTAAAGAATTCTAGAGATATGAAGAAATACAGAAGAACTGTTAATAAAAATGACAATATGCAGCATATATTTAATTTTTTATTTGTAATTATCTGTATAAAATGTTTCACATACATTTTATTAAATCCACAAAATTGTGGCTTAGATTTATTAAGCAACTTGCTCAAAGTTGCATAGACAGAAAGTGATAAAGCAGGAATGTTAACTCAGATCTGCCTAACTTTGTAGTACGTATTTTTAACAAAGACAATATATTCCTTCTGCATTAAAGACATAGATAATCATAATGTGAAAGTGTATTCTTAGACTAAGAGAACACATACATATGCACACACACATACGCATATACACACACACACTTCCATATGTCTAAATCTTTAATATGGGCAATTTTTACTTTGAACATTCTGCTTTTATGCAATAAATATGCACTGATTTTATAATCGTGATTTAAAAAAAACAAATGTGAGAAACTGATTGATTTTATGAGTCACAAAATAAAAAATTTTGCAAACTGGGCAGGATGTCTCTATTTTCCCTGTCTTTCTCCTGAAGGTCACACTGAATTTGGACACTGGAGAAGAGAAAGGAGAAGGCCATTCTGGCTACCCTAGGACTCAGAGACGGTATGTGCCCAAGCACCACACCACCTGGCCTCACTGGGATACAGGAATGAAAAGCAGACAGTGCAACAGACCATTTGAAGGCCCGCATAGGGCTTTGCATCTTTGGAGCCCAGAACTTGGCAAGCCCATTGTAAATGTTAAGGATGCAATGAGCCGCATTCTCTTTTTGCTTCTTAGTTATATTCTACTTTATGCTCTCCCTTAGATAGTCAAGGGTGGTTTGGGCTGTGCTAAAATTCCTGAAATGCTCTTGTCAGAGGTAGATAGAATAGGTGAGGAGGCAGGGGTGTAAGCTGTGATTTCTTTTTTTTTTTTTTTTTGTATTCTTAGTCATATGTATTTATTTATTTATTTACTTATTTTATTATACTTTAAGTTTTAGGGTACATGTGCACAATGCTCAGGTTTGTTACATATGTATACATGTGCCATGTTGGTGTGCTGCACCCATTAACTCGTCATTTAACATTAGGTATGTCTCCTAATGCTATCCCTCCCCGCTCCCCCCACTCCACAACAGGCCCCAGTATGTGAGGTTCCCCTTCCTGTGTCCATGTGTTCTCATTGTTCAATTCTCACCTATGAGTGAGAACATGCGGTGTTTGGTTTTTTGTCCTTGTGATAGTTTACTGAGAATGATGGTTTCCAGCTTCATCCATGTCCCTACAAAGGACATGAACTCATCATTTTTTGTGGCTGCATAGTATTCCATGGTGTATATATGCCACATTTTATTAATCCAGTCTATCATTGTTGGACATTTGGGTTGGTTCCAAGTCTTTGCTATTGTGAATAGTGCCACAATAAACATACGTGTGCATATGATATCTTAAGTGATTTCTATCTCAGTACTAGTGCTAGTACCTTCCAGAGGCATCGATTGATTCATCATGAATGCTCTATGATACAGACTTTATTAATCACATTCTACAGCCTAGAAAAGCTAGGCTCCATAGGTTAGTTTATGGCCTGAGATGACACGGCTAGTGCCATGACCAGGCATTTCCATTATGTTTTTCATAAAATCCCTTTATTCTCCCCTGAATCACTGCTTTTTCACCTCCCCCCATTTTGCCAGAGAAATAGTACTCTCTAACTTTAATACTAGTTCTTATGTGTCCTGATGATAACTGGATAAATAAAGACTGTACACAAAACTGATGGTCCAATAGTTATTAACATAATGCCTCAGTATAATACAAATCATAAACTCCACTACTCCAAAAGTTACTTTTTTATGTTTAAATAATTCTCCACAATACTTGAGATGTAGACTGTTGCTATTTTTTTTTATTATACTTTAAGTTTTAGGGTACATGTGCACAACGTGCAGGTTAGTTACATATGTATACATGTGACATGCTGGTGCGCTGCACCCACTAACTCGTCATCTAGCATTAGGTATATCTCCCAATGCTATCCCTCCCCCCTCCACCCACCCCACAACAGTCCCCAGAGTGTGATGTTCCCCTTCCTGTGTCCATGTGTTCTCATTGTTCAATTCCCACCTATGAGTGAGAATATGCGGTGTTTGGTTTTTTGTTCTTGTGATAGTTAACTGAGAATGATGATTTCCAATTTCATCTATGTCCCTATAAAGTACATGAACTCATCATTTTTTATGGCTGCATAGTATTCCATGGTGTATATGTACACATTTTCTTAATCCAATCTATCATTGTTGGACATTTGTGTTGGTTCCAAGTCTTTGCTATTGTGAATAGTGCCGCAATAAACATACGTGTGCATGTATCTTCATGGCAGCATGATTTATAGTCCTTTGGGTATATACCTAGTAATGGGATGGCTGGGTCAAATGGTATTTCTAGTTCTAGATCCCTGAGGAATCGCCACACTGACTTCCACAATGATTGAACTAGTTTACAGTCCCACCAACAGTGTAAAAGTGTTTATATTTCTCCACATCCTCTCCAGCACCTTTTGTTTCCTGACTTTTTAATGATTTCCATTCTAACTGGTGTGAGATGATATCTCATTGTGGTTTCGACTTGCATTTCTCTGATGGCCAGTGATGGTGAGCATTTTTTCATGTGTTTTTTGGCTGCATAAATGTCTTCTTTTGAGAAGTGTCTGTTCATGTCCTTCGCCCACTTTTTCATGGGGTTGTTTGTTTTTTTCTTGTAAATTTGTTTGAGTTCATTGTAGATTCTGGATATTAGCCCTTTGTCAGATGAGTAGGTTGCGAAAATTTTCTCCCATTTTGTGGGTTGCCTGTTCACTCTGATGGTAGTTTCTTTTGCTGTTCAGAAGCTCTTTAGTTTAATTAGATCCCATTTGTCAATTTTGGCTTTTGTTGCCATTGCTTTTGGTGTTTTAGACATGAAGTCCTTGCCCATGCCTATGTCCTGAATGGTACTGCCTAGGTTTTCTTCTAGGGTTTTTATGGTTTTAGGTCTAACGTTTAAGTCTTTAATCCATCTTGAATTGGTTTTTGTATAAGGTGTAAGAAAGGGATCCAGTTTCAGCTTTCTACATATGGCTAGCCAGTTTTCCCAGCACCATTTATTAAATAGGGAATCCTTTCCCCTATATCTAGAAAACCCCATTGGCTCAGCCCAAAATCTCCTTAAGCTGATAAGCAACTTCAGCAAAGTCTCAGGATACAAAATCAATGTACTAAAATCACAAGCATTCTTATACACCAATAACAGACAAACAGAGAGCCAAATCATGAGTGAACTCCCATTCACAATTGCTTCAAAGAGAATAAAATACCTAGGAATCCACCTTACAAGGGACGTGAAGGACCTCTTCAAGGAGAACTACAAACCACTGCTCAATGAAATAAAAGAGGATACAAACAAATGGAAGAACATTCCATGCTCATGGGTAGGAAGAATCAATATCGTGAAAATGGCCATACTGCCCAAGGTAATTTATAGATTCAATGCCATCCCCATCAAGCTACCAATGACTTTCTTCACAGAATTGGAAAAAACTACTTTAAAGTTCATATAGAACCAAAAAAGAGCCCTGATCGTCAAGTCAGTCCTAAGCCAAAAGAACAAAACTGGAGGCATCACGCTACCTGACTTCAAACTATACTACAAGGCTACAGTAACCAAAACAGCATGGTACTGGTACCAAAACAGAGATATAGATCAATGGAACAGAACACAGCCCTCAGAAATAATGCCGCATATCTACAACTATCTGATCTTTGACAAACGTGAGAAAGACTGTTGCTGTTGAATGCATGGTCTGAGAGCTAGTAATGTAGCCATAGTAATCAATAAAAACTTACTGATTATTTTAACTAATGCAGTTCAACTTATGCAGATCATTGACATGAATATGTGACATTGTGACATTGGCTGATAAAAATAATAGCTGACAATTATAACATTTATTGACTGCTCACCACAGGCTGGATTCCCTGGTAACTACTTTACATGCTTCATATCATGCAACATATGAAGCATGATTACACTGGACTTCAACCTATGAAGCAAATTACACTGAACTTTAAGTGGAAAAGTAGGCACCTCAAGTGTGCCTTTTTTTAAACAATGTCTGGATGGGTCAAGGCTTTCATTGCTGATGACAACAATTTTATGAAAACGTCCTATTATCCCTATGTTAGAGATGAATAAGATGAGTCTTTAAAACATTGCATCAATTCTAAGTACCACGGTTGAGTTTTAGACTTACAACTGTTCCAGCCTCAAAAACTAATTTTTAGCTAGTACATTCGGTTGCTTCTTTTTGAGGCTTTTACAAACTGGCAGTGGAAAAAGAGTAATATGCCTAAAGCTGTATTTCACTGGAGGTTATCTGAGGTGCAAGAGAGGCTACCTCAGACGAACAAGTCTTATGTTAAAAGAAATACAGGAGAGTCTCTGTAAGGTGTGCTTATTAACACATCGTCTAAATGATCTCTTCTTTAGATGTACATAGAGTGTTTCATTAATGGATCTGAGAGAAGCAGTAAGAAATTAAAGGAGAAAATCAAAGAAATGTCTGGGATCCCAGGAGTTTACAATTTCTATCCAGAGTGCAGCTCAAATTTCTCCAAAAATAGGCAAATGAAGAAGGTTGATACTTAACACTCTTTAGGGAAGCATTTTGCTGTCTAGGATATTTTATATACTTTGGGTAAGTGAATGTGAAAAGCAGATTACACTGGACCTTAAATGGAAAGGCAGGCAACCAGAGAGTGCCTTTGTTTAACAATGCCTGAATAGGTCAAGGCTTTCATAGCTGATGAAAATTTTAGCATATTAATCCATTTAGGAAGCTGGATTCCTCATCTTGTGCTTGATTGCTAATCACAGACATTACATTATGGGCAAGCTGAGGTAGGCAAGCTCCTGGCATATTGGGATCAAAACACACTTTTAGAACTAAAGCGTGGTACTCCTCAAAGTTGCCATCTTATGTTGAAAAAGTGCCAGAGCTCTTGGCTTTAATCCTGCGCTGTCAGCTGCAGCCCCAAACATAGCTGATCATACGGGTCTCCTGATCAAAAAACTTTCAGTGGCTCAGCACAGCCTACAGAGTAAAATAGTTGTCCCAAAATCTCAGGGACTTAGACATCCAACAGAAATTTCTGTTCATTCTGCCTCTAAAACACTCTAGACTCTGACCACGTCTTATCGTAACCTAAGGTGCCATTCAAGTACTCAAAACCCCACATACCACTGTACCATTCTCTCTCTCTCTCTCTCTCTCTCTCTCTCTCTCTTTCTCTCTCTTTATCCTCTCCCCTCATTCACATACCATAGAGACAGAGATGAGGGTGAGAGACACATACTTTTTTCTCTCTCTGTTTTTATTATGGAACATATTAAACAGATACCAAATTAGACACAATAAAAAACTTGATGTATCCATCACTCAACTTTAACAATGAATATTTTATGGGCAACATTATTTATTTATATCCACACTCACCCTCTTCCTCATACTTTCATTTGGATTAAACCCAGATATTATATTGTCCCACCTAGAAAAGAATATCAGTATATTTCTCTAAAAGATAAGGACTCTTAAAAAGCATAATTACAAAGGCATTTTGACATCTAAAAACCCACCATTTTAATATTGCCATACATTGAGGCAGTGCTCGCATTTTTATAAATGGCACATGCATGCACATGGATATATATGTAAGTGTACATTGCAATGGTTGGAATGTTTGTGTCCCTCTGAAATTCATTTTTTTAAAATGTAATCCCCAATCTGTTGGTATTAAGAGGTGGAGCCCTTGGGAGGTGACTAGGTCATGAGGGTTTCCCTTGAGAATGAGATTAGTGACTTTATAAAAGAGGCTGGCGGGAACTTGTCTGGCCCTGACCATGTGAGGACACAGCAAGCAGGCACTGTCTCTGAAGCAGAGAGTGAGCCCTTACCAGAAACCAGATCTGCTGGCACCTCCACTTTGGACTTCCCAGCCTCTAGAACCATGAGCAATAAATTTCTGTTGTTTATAAATTTTCCAGTCTACAATATTTTGTTACAGCAGTCCCAAACTGACTAAGCCGTATGTATATTTTTATGTATAGTTGACTCTTAAACAACATGGGTTTGAACTACCTGCATAGATCCACTCATATATGGATTTTCTTCTGCCTCTGCTGTCACTGAGACATCAAGACCAACCTCGTCTCTTTCTCCTCTTCCTCAGCCTATGTAATTTGAAGACAGCGAAACTAAAGACCTTTATGATAATCTAATTACATGTAATAAACAGTAAATATATTTTATCTTCTTTATGATTTTCTTAATAACACTTTCTTTTCTTTAGCTTACTTTATTGTAAGAATATCATATAAAATATATATAACATACAAAATATGTGTTAACTGATTATTCATTGGTCAGATTTCCTGTCAACAGTAGGCTATTAGTAGTTAAGTTTTTGGGAGTCAAAAGTTATACACGAATTTTCAAATGTGTGAAGATATAGTACCCTAACCCCCAAGTTGTCCAAGGGCCGACTGTATGGATAGAAGGATGGATAGATGATAGATAGATAGATAGATGGATATAGCTATATCTATAAATATAGAGAAAAATATAAATATAGAAATATAAATATAGACATATATAAATATACATATGAATAAATATAAATGTAGATGTGCATGTAATATATAGTGTGTTTATTAAATTTGTATCCAAACAGGAATTGGTTGATTTGTCCCTTAAGTAACTTTAATTCATAGGGTTACCCTGCATCTCCTTAGTGGTTGTTACTATGTCTTGACCTGGAGAAACAATTTCTGTCACAGCCTCCTTTCCCACTACACTCTTCTCCATTCATCAACCTGAACTTCAGAGTATAAATTTTATCACCTCTGCTGAGCCCTTCTAAAACTTTCCATTACACTCAGAATAATGTCGAAGTCCCCTAATGTGACCATAAGAATCATAGAGAATCATGTCCTCTCATCTCTGGGAGCTCATCTCCTCTGGGCTCCCCTTGTTCGCTTGGCTCCAGCCACATTAGTGCTTTTTCTCTGACTCTAGATCATGCCAAGTTCTCAGGATCACTAATCCCTCTGCAGAAGGGATCTGCCCTAGATGTTGCTGTGACTGCCCTTTTCTTATTGCTTATGTTACCACTCAAATGTTACTTCTCAGAAAGGATCACTCTCTGAAAGTAGTGCCCACATCACAAACAACGTGTGCTCCCTTTACTTTGTGTATATATATATATATCTTATTCTTACTCCACCTGGATGAAGCCCCTTAAAGCCAATGACTGGGTCTCCTTTATCAGTTTCTATATCCTGGAGCCCAGGACTGAGCCTGGCATGCAGCATTGCCTCAGTAAATCTTCGTTAATTAGACTCCCTTGAATAATGAACAACATTTGAGTTTTCTATTAAGCATTCCTTTCTCTTCATCAACCCCAACAGTTTCATAATTACATTCTGCTCTCTTATGCTTAGGCACTTTTCAGGGTGATTTAGGTGGTCCTCATCACTGCACCATCACTCCTAAATGTGGTGTGATGATTCAAGTCAGGCTGCAATACAGTCAGGGAATGTGCATCAAGCCATGATATTTAGACCTGCTGCATTCTGTTGGCGTTGCTAGGCCACAAGGATCTCATCCAGAGATAGAAATCTGCCATTTAATTCACAATGTGAAGCTATATGAGCTGCTTGATATGTTTTATCTCATTGGATTTTCGTTATCCCATTTTTTGCAGTTTGAGGAGACTTAAGACTCAAGGAGCTTAACATGCATTACACAGTGGAGGAGCTGTGATTTAAACTGGCATAAATTTGACAATAAAACCAGGCCTCTTCACTCAAGAAAGTGAGAGGCTAGTCATTGACCCATAGAAGACTGGTCAGCATCCTTCACAACAGCTGAATGTCATTTCATGAGGGCAGAAAAGTCCTTATAATTAATTGAGCCTAGAATGAAACTCCATGTCTCTATAAACACCGTCTATGTTTGGTAGAGTTTTAACATATTTTTGCTTTGTCTAGAAATGTTCAAAATTTCCAAGAATCAAAGCACCAACAGCAAATGATGCTTATGGAATTTGTTAAGCCAATACCACTTAGGTAAACTATTTGCTTTACTGAGTATATTGTGCAAAAATATAGCAGAGGAGATTCCTCCTTCTGTTACAGGCTTGGAACTTAAATTAGCTGAGACTCATGAGACATATGGATTGCAATGAATTTTATTCATGAAGATTACTTATACATAATATACATATTATTGGCTGAGACAGGGTCTCACTCTGTCACCCAGGCTGGAGTGCAGTGGTACACTGCAGCTTACCGCAGCTTCGAGCCAGGATCAGTTGATCCTCCCACCTCAGCCTCCTGAGAGTTGGGACTACAGGCACATGCCACTATGCCCAGTTAATTATTATATTTTTTGTAGAGATGTGGTTTTGCCATGTTGCCAAGGCTAGTCTCAAATCTGTGGACTCAAGCGATCCTCCTGCCTCAGCCTCTGAAAGTGCTGGTATTACAGGAATAAGCCACTGTGCCTAGCCTATATTTCAAATATCTGTGGCATATTGGTAAGGAATCTCTGTTGTGAAAAATGTATATTGAAATGAATTACTAACTTTGGGTTTGCCTCTTTATTTTCCATCAATCTTCTCTTGTTACTGTAGACCCCAGAGGTCTACCCCAAAACTCTTTAGCTTCTTACATTACTGCTTCTTTTTGTAGTTCATCCTCTATTTCTTATTGCTTCACTAAACAATCCTCTACTTATTAATGCTTCACATGGTCTCCAAGATGTTTTAAAGTATTCAGTTCTGAATGCCTTTACGTGTGGTGGAGTTTCAATATAGACAACATATTCATCTCTTATATTTCACAAAAATAAGGAGGTGGGGTATTTTTCTGGCCCAAAAAGAAGTCCAGATATAGGCAATTTAGGACTGATGCAGATGTTTGGTACTACCATCAAGAACCGATGCTCTTTCAATATTTCTTCTCTTCTATCATTGGCATGTTGGCTTAATCTTCATGCTTCTCACTTCTTGCTTACAGAATGGCTAATGCTTAATGCCTCAGGTCCCTACTGAGACAGGAGCAAGAGATCAAGAAGAAAGGAATATAAGAATTCCATTTATGTTTATTTGACCTCATGGAGAGGGGATTGGATAAATGGAATTTTCACTCTTTACAGACTTTAAAGAAGAATCAGAAAATGGAGACTGGGATTGGAAGCAGAGATCCGATGGCCAAATTACAGTCTGCCACTGAAGCTAACACACCTATGGGTAAGAAAAGATCTCACTAAGAGGCAGAATTTCAGTTAGGCCTTCATGGAGTGTTTTCACAGTTAGAAGGGAAAGGGACTTTTCAGGCAGAAATAGCAACAAGTGCAAAGGAACAGAGACAACAATGAAGTCACATATATAACCAATTACATATATACAATATAATACATTGTGTCTGGCAGGGTCACAAAGATTCAGACCGTATCAGTACTTATCTTTATCATATGAGATACAGATAAATACTGCTATGATCTGAATGTTTGTGTCCCTCCCAAATACATATGCTGAAACCCTGCCCCCTAAGGTGATGGTATTAGGATTGTGTGGCCTCTGATTAGTGCTTTTCTATAAAAGTTTCAGAGTATTCTTTAGTCTCTTCCACCATGTGAGGGCACAGTGAAAGGAAGGACTTCTATGGAGCAGAATGTGGGCCCTTACCAACACTGAGTCTTCCATTGCCTTGACCTTTAACTTCCCGGCCTTCACAACAGTGAGAAATAAATTTCTGTAGTTTATAAGCCAATCAGTCTATGGTGTTTTTTTTACAGCAACCCGAATGGACAAAGACAGGTACCTACAGTGAACTCAGTATTCAGATTCACAACAGTGATTAAGAAAACATTATCACTCAGAGAGTTTGTAATGTGATAGAAAAGAAGAATGTCAAACATTTTTTAAAGTAAAAAGATTATGAAATAATGAAAACATTCAGGAAAATATGTTGATTCCTAGCAAGAATATATAATAGTTTTTGTGAGAGAAGGATCATTGGATTCTTTCCTGAAAAAGTTGCTTTTGAGAAGACACTTGAAAGATAATAGCCATTATCCAGCAAATATGTTTGCAAGGAGAACAGGATACTCAAGGAATAGAAAACAGCATATGCAAAGTTATAGACTATGATCAAAAACAATTAAAAAAATTAAAAGACAGTAAATATATCCAAGGTGGGCAGAACAAAGAGGATGTGGGGAAGAGGGGCTAAGATGAGACTTTACATACAGGAAGGGCCCTAATGAGCCATGTGAAGGAATCAAAGAAAGTGGAATATTTAGAACTAATGAAAAGTCCAGTGAAGGGAGAATATTCTGGCTTTTCATATTTCTTACTTGGGCCTGTAAGACTGTGTGAGCTGCTTCTTGCTGAATTCTCCATATACTCTTTCACCTTCCTTCGCCTTCACTTAGGCTACTATGGCCTTCTTTTCCTCCAATATGCCAAGGACTGGGGGTCCCTGATTCCTTCATGTCATAAAATTCATTATTCTATTCCATCCGTAGTTGTGGAGCCCCCTGGGCAGTGAGAAAGGTCAGGTTTTTGATTGGCAAAGTAAGCCTCAAGACATTTTTAATTGCTCTTTCCTCCTACTAGACAACTTTCTCCCCTCATTTATGCATTGCTGGCTCTTTCTTAATATTAAAGTTTTTCATTTGCCAGAAAACAGAGCCTCAGACACAGACTTTCATGCAGGTAGTTTAGCCTGGATGTGTTATCTGAAGAGCTTAGTAAATGGTAAGTGTGAGACAGGGAAGAAGGAAGAACACTGTTAAGCTGGTTTCTGCTGTGGCAGTTTGGGCTCAGTGACTGTTGAAAAGCCACGTAGAATGAACCTTACACTTGTCCACCCAAAGGATAAAAAGAAGGAACTTAATCTTCTGAATGACATCTGCCATTGGTCAAGCGTTGGCCTTGGTGTGTTAATTCTCTTGTCCTTCTTGGTTTGTACATCTGTGAAGGTATAATGGTTTTCTGCAGGCATTTTACACTGCAAATTCAGATACATACTGAGTAGAATAGAAGAGGTACTAGGTGTAACTGAGGCAAGGAAATGTTGGCTTGCAGTCTTTGAAGCTGATTGCTAAAGCTTTAGTGAGAGAGATGGAGAGAATGAGGGGTGAGGTTCAAAAGATATCCACTGAAGAGCTCAGCTCAAATACTACTTTCTTAGAGAGGCCTTCTTCAACTACCCAACCTAAAATATTGTCAACCACACTTCTGCCCCCTTTCACAAGTCCTGCATTTAAAAATTTTCGTAGCATTTAGCCCTCTTTGGAATTACAATATTTTCTTATTTATTTAACTATCATCTGTCCACCTTCCACCAGAACATAGCTCCATTCTGTCCTTCTCACAATCTCTGGCTTCTGGCAGGGTGTTGGCTATTAAGAGCCCTCAATAAATAATTGAGAAGCACAGACAAAAAATGAAGTTGGAAAATCATTGAGAGAAACTCATAAAAGTTCATATAAATCACACTAAGTTGTTTGAGTTTATATCTTTATGTCTTGGGAAACAATTTTGCAGGCAGTTTTGTTCTCATTCCACAGCTATAGAAGGTGGATCTCAGAATGTTCAGGTTTACAGGCCACATATGCTAAAAGTGCTTATGGGACTACAATACAAACACCATTCGTTTAAGTCCCAAAGCTCCCTCAAGTCCCGGTACTGGCATAACTTAATGCTGCCTCTCAAGATTAAAAACACGGATCAAGAATATCCACAGGTTTTTGGCTTCAAAAGCAGCATACTCACCTTATTAGGAAATACTTCTGGATTTCCTAGGCTAGGTGAATCACACCATGTCTGTAAAATAACAATTTTCCTCCTAAAAGCTAAGCTCTTGTGTTAACAGCCCTATTACCCCATTAACTGTGCACCTCTAACCCCCGTGCTTCTGGTAACATTTTTGTAACTGCCCAATCTGACTTCCAATGTCATCTAGAGTGGCATTTGAGTCATATCTTCTCTTTATTCCAACTGTATATGGTGCAGGCCTCTATAGATATTTTCAAGAATTAAATAAATGAAATAACTAGTTGATTAGTAAAGCGTATCATACAATGATTACAACCATAAATTGTTTTCAAAAAATTATCATATATAAAATACATGAGAGAATTAGCAGATCTCAGTGTTTCTGATCTTGTAAGCATCTGGACATCCAACTGTTTTGTTTGTTTGTTTGTTTGTTTGCTTGCTTTTTTTTTTTTTTTTTTTTTTTTTCCTGAGACTGAATCTTGCTCTGTCGCCCAGGCTGGAGTGCAGTGGCATGATCTCAGCTCATTGCAAGCTTCGCCTCCCGGGTTCACGCCATTCTCCTGCCTCTGCTTCCTGGGTAGCTGGGACTACAGGCACCCGCCACCATGCCCGGCTAATTTTTTTGTATTTTTAGTAGATATGGGGTTTCACCGTGTTACCAGGATGGTCTCGATCTCCTGACCTCATGATCCGCCCATCTCAGCCTCCCAAAGTGCTGTGATTTACAGGCATGAGCCACTGTGCCTGGCCTTGTTTGCTTTTTTCTTTCTTTTTGTTATTGAGGTATACCATACATATATACAAAGTGCTCAGATATTGAGGGTATGGCTCAATGTATCTTCTGGATAGAGATTTGCATACATATAGAATGAAGTTTGAATACTTTCTATGTAGCATGGAGATCAAGACACAGAACTTTTGCAGTATCCCTGAAATATTCATTCACCTTCCCAGTTAACACTTCACTACACTGAGGTAAGTATTATATTGACTTCTATTAGATTAGTTTTGCTTTTCCTTGTATTTCATGTGAACAGAATCATAAAATATGTGCTTCTTAATACCTGGCTTGTTTTCCTCAATATTGAGACTGAAAAATTTATCCATGTTGATATGTGTAGCAGTAGTGTTTTGTTTGCTTCTGATTATTTTTCACTGTATGACTAGATCGCAATTTATTCACAATTCTAGTGTCGATGATTTCCTCCCTCCCTGTTTTTGGCTGTTATAAACAAAGCTGCTTCAGATGTTCTTAAGTCTTTGGGGGCATGTGCACTCATTGCCCCTGGACATATATCTCAGAGTGCAGTTCCTGATCCAGGGGTAGATTATGCTTAGATTGAGTAGTTTCTGCCACTTTCCCAAAGTAAATATAACAAATTATTCTCCCTTCAGCAATGTTTTACAGTGCTAGGGGTTCGAAGTCTTTGAAGGCAAGAGATTTGCATTGTTTCTTTGTATCATCCATCATGCATTCCATATGCTTTACTTAGCAGGTGCTCACTAAATATTTGTCGAAGAGCTCATGCGATTCCTCTCCCCTCGTGAGAAAAATATCTGACCAAATGGTGAGACTGGTTTCATTGCATCCAAAGGCACTGCAGGAGCACCATCAAGATGGCAAACTTGGCAACTGCAGTTGCTGAAGCTTGATGTTTTGTTTTGCTTTGTTTTAAGAATGTTTTCATCCTAATACATTATTTTTGTGACGAATCATATCATGAATAATTAGACTGATCAAAACTGGAACCAGATAAATGACCTGCTCTGCAACTGAGCTCTTTAACAAATGTGCAGTGCCCTGGAAGCAGCCATTGTCCAATCCCTAGGCAAAGCTCCTTGATTCAGGACACATTCCTTTACCCAGGAAGACAACAGCATTATAGAATGCAGGACCACAAATCTCCCCAGAGATTAGATATTCAGCCCAAACTCTCCTCTGGATGCGAAGGCAATGTGAGCTAGGGGAAATGAAGAAAGGACATTAGAGTAAAAAACAATAAAAGTTAATGAGGTTTGAATACTGCCTATGTAACAGGGTGACCTTTGCAAGAGTTTTTAAAACTATAAGCCTCTATTCTCTTGTATATAAGTTAAGGATAATATTTACTTTGTAGTGTTTTTATGAAAAGAAGATGTAAAATTTTGAAGTGTAAGGCAGGTGCCCAGCTATTGGCAGTGATAGCAATAATATAACATACAAACAATAAGTATCATCTAGTAGATGCATTAAAGATGTGCCAGGCACAGTAGTAAGCACTTTGCATCATTATCTCATTTTATCCTTCTGAAAGAATGCAGAATGCCATGGTAGAGCTAAATACTTAACTGAGAGTCAGGCATTTGGCCAAAAAGAGGTGGACAGTTTGGTTATGTCTCTTCTACCACTTATCTTGGTTAAATGTCTTGATTTTTCTTGCCTCTTCTTTCAAATCTATCAAATAGTGTTGTTGGATTAAAGTCTTATATACTACAAAATTATATTACCTATGTGTCTCACACTTACAGCACATCAAATAAAACCAAGATAAAAAAATACGTAAGCAGCTATTATGTACCAATAAGTTTAATAGACAGCTCCTGCCCTCAAAAGACCTCTAATTATAATATCATATGGTAAGAGTTCCTGTAGGAAGTAGCATTAAATTTGACTTTGAAGAATGAATAGGTGTATTGTAGGGAGGGGTATTCATTTGTGTAAATGCTTGGAAATGAGTAGAAACACACTTCATTCTACGAAATCTGAGAAGCTCTTTTCTTAGGGAAACAAATGATGTGGGTATAAAATAAAAGTGTCAAGAACTGTGGCTGGAAAATAAGTTGAGGTCAAATGGGAACCCAATTAGGGTCACAAAAAATTGAACCTAGAATCCATTTTTCTTTGATGGCTTATTTCCTATGGAAGGCTCATATCAGCACATTTCCTGGTTTTCAGATGACAAAATATGAATTGGCCTTGATTATTACTCCTCAGAGTGTTCAGGGGTGGGTCCCTCTTGATTTGTGTGGGGACAAGTTTAGTGCAGTGTTTAGACAGTGTGGCTTTAATTCTGTGCACACAGTTAGCATGGGAGATTGCTTCCTCTGACATTATTATGAGCCATGAAGTTCTCAGATTTTACTGCTTCAAGTGAATCAAGCCATTTTCCAAAATGAATTATGGATCATAAACCCTTGGGGTGGCTATAGTGTTGCATTTTTGTGAAATCCATATTCGGGATGGACATTTATTGAGCACATAACTATTATAAAGTGTTAGCTGCAAAGTAAGTTTGGCTTGTGGTTGACTCAGCAGCAGAGGAGTTTAACATGTTCATTTCTGAGTGTTGGATTCCAATCTGCTCTTCTAAAATCCCATGTAAATGGGGTTTGGAGGTTTAGGCAATAGTCCAAGATGTGACTAGGATCAGACCCAGGCTCAGTTAAAGGTTCTGTGTATCGTCTCTGGGCAGAAAAACACTCAGCAGATGCTAAATAAGATAATTTTTTGGAGATAAAATTTATGAGCTAAATTGAATGACTTCAATTTTACCAACCTACTCAACCTATACCATCTCTCCACTATCTTCCTTGCCTGCAAAGTGATGGGAGATAAAGACAGAGACATAGAGACACATACAGAGAGAAAACAGAGAGATAGAGAAACAGACAAATAGAAAATGAGGCACGGAGACAAAAACAGAGACAGAGACAGACAGAGAAAGATGGCTGGTAGGCAGCGGGACAGAGAGAGTCAAGAAGGGAGAGAGGAAGGAGAGAGAGGGGTTGGGATGAGGATCTTCAGTTCTTATGCCATTGTTTTCTCCACTCACTTAGCTGATAATACTCAGGTATTTCCAGTCTTCTCAAGAAGCTCTCAGATGCATCCCCTCCTATTCTCCCAACTGCCCAAACATCTGATCATCAGCCACACCAGTTCCCTTATCTTCTTATGCAGGTTGCCATCTTTTGTTTATTTGCTTATGAATCTAAGTCTTCAGTGCTGTTATCCTTGTAGAGATGGACTTTGCTTCATCTCTGTGCACTTACACCTACATCCATACATTGAATCTTCTAGGGGCAATTCTCCCCCCTATGAGAATAAATCATTCTCCTCTGTGTTCTCATAGCGTTTTATTCAAGTTGCCTAAATATAATTTCATCTACTTTGATTTAGTGTTTGTGTTTTACCTATCTCCGTTTTAGACTGTGAGCTATTTGAAGACAGGGATGACGTTGTTTCATTCATTTGATCTCTCAGAGGACTGGTCTGGTAATGAGTGGCAAGCATTGCACTGAGAATGAGGGAACGGAGAAGAATTAATGCTGTCCAAGAAGCCCGCAGGACAGCCTGGGTCAGAGTTGGTAAAATCCAATGTGACTACAGCAAAGTGAGAAAGAAGCTGCAGGTGTGAGGGGAATCCAATGAACATCTTGCTATAGAGTGAGTCAGAAATATTGTGTGAAATGAGCCTGGTTAAATGAAAAGAATTTAGTAGGCAAAGAATAAGATAAAGATAATATATAAGGAGAGAGACTCATGTACTGTGTTCCAAATCAAACAGAACATTCAGTTCTTGGGAAATTGCAAAAAGTCAGGATGATTAGAACAAAGAATAACTTTTTGATCTATAGTTACTCCATTTTTGCAAAGGGAGAAGGGACAGAGGAGGTTAACATAAAATGTGTTCTCTAGGTGTCTACTATGTGACAGGGCTCCATGTTTTAAAGTCTTGTTTAATATGATACAGAGAAGGCAAGCCCCAAAGTGGAGCTTAGCCCACTGGGTTCTTGGCTTTGCCCTGGAAAGATTTCAAGGGCAAACCAGAGGTAAAAGAAAATAGCTTTACTGAAGAAGCAGTGTTACAGCTCTGTAACTGCTCCTGCAAAGAAGGGCTACCCTGTAGGAAGAGAGCAGCAGCTCAGGGCAGTTCTGGAGTCATAGTTATACCCACATTTAACTGTGTGCAGATTAAGGGGTGGTTTATGCAGAAACTTGGGGGAAAGGGATAGTACCTTTGGGTCATTGGGTCATTGCTATGGAAAGGGGTGGTGACACCCAGGTGTTGCCATGGCAACAGTAAATTGACATGTTATTCTTAGTGGGTTTGTTTGAATGAAAGCTGCTGTCACCCCAGCCCTGTTTTAGCTAGTCCTCATTGTGGTCTGGCATCTGAGTCCTGCCTCCTACCTCAAATATATTTAATCCTTTAAGGTAGATATTATCCCTATTTAACATGTGAGGACACAAAGGCTCCAAGAGTTGTCCACAGTTGCACAGCTTGGAAGTGGCAGATGTGGTCTCTGTGTTCATTAGCCTTCCTCTGTACCATATGCTTTTTCAGATAGTCGCCAAACACAAGAATACTGTGTTGTCACGCAAGCTTGAGATTTCAGTCACACATTGACATTCCTAAAACTATCCAGTTACACATAAGCATGCTGTGGACTAGAACTAGAGTTCACTAATTGTAGGAAGTTGGCTTCCTAGAATTGTGAGAATGAGACTGCCTCCTCTGTAGGACATAAAGGGAAATACGAAGGAAAAATATTCAACTTTGATTTAAATGAAATTCTGACTGGAATCTGATGCATTTGTATTTATCATTTGCTACCTAAAGAGCCCTACAGAAAAGGACAGAAATGTGGAGTGGGAAACTTTGATGCAGATCAAGTAACTGCTTCATCTGAATCTGAAGTAACTTCTCTGAATCTAAGTTCTTTACCAGTTAAATATGGGTATCAATGGCTATCTCATGATTGTGAAAACAATATATGCCAAGACATGTGGAAGTCTCATTAAGCTATATAGGTGCAAAACTCATCAGCTATCTATGAAAATAATCTATTTTTTAAGATTAATTACCAACATTTTTGTCCAAATTGTTCTTAAAACTGGCAACTTACCAACTCCTAGAGCATTTTCAGCTAAATTCTGACAAAACTATATTCTTTACAAATACCATGACTGTTCCTAAAATACGTCTGTCTCTTCTTGCCACGTTTATTATACTCCCAGGTGAGCCCTGAGGCTTTCTGATTCTGTTCACCATTTCATGGAATCATTGAAACAAACAGTGACAAGTAACATGAGAAACCATATAACTGAATGCCACTACTAAATAATTGAGAAACCTCAGTCCCTGTGTGTATTTCTTTGAAATTATGACATTTCATTTGTACTGCTTTCCCTCCACACTTAGGGCACTGGACTAACAGTAATCTCTCAAATTATAAGGAACCCCCAGTTACTTACAGTCTCAGGGCTGTTGGATATCTGTTTCCACATTTTCATTACTAAGCTCTACAATCTGTTCTTCCCACATCCCCAGTATTAACACCAAGACTTTCATGTAGTAGAATAATCACCCTCACAAGGATGTACACACCCTAATCCCTAGAACATATTTTACATTACTTGGCAAAAGGGACTTTGCAGATATGATTAAAATTTAGAATTTTGAGAGATAAAGATTACTTTGTATTATATGGGTGGGTTCAATACAATGACAAGGGCTTTTAAAAGAGGGAGTCAAGAGTATCAGAGTAAGAGGAGGAGAAGTAATGATGAGGCAGGATTTTTTTCTGTGCCACTTCACCAGCTGGAGACCCACTCTAGGCTTGCTGCTGGAGGTACCCTAACCACTTGGCCCAGCAAGCTGCACTTGCTGTGGAATCCGTGATCAGCTCATGGCTGGGCTGGGTGTGCTGTAACCTGCTTCTGCCTTGGGTGCTGGCATCTGGACGAGAGGAACACAATGGCACCCAAAAAACTTGCAAATGCTAGAAATCATAGAACTTCAAAGAGGGTGTTATGTTGTGCTATTGTTCTGGCTCAGGGAACCCTGAGGTCTGGGCCCCCATTGTGTGGCACGGCTGCCTGGCACTGGCAGAGGGCAGAGGGCTACAGTGTTACAGCCTTTTTGGCACACGCATTTAGCAGTTCCTGGGTTCTTATCCTCCATTCAAGAATGAGGTTATACTGAAAACCAGAGGGTAAGCAGGGTGGAGAGTTTTACTGAGCAAGAAAATGGTTCTCAGTGGAGGTGGGACCTGGAGTGGGCAACCCCCTACCTGAAGTCGGGTAGCTCTCAAGTGTGGCTGAGTTTGGGGGTTTTATTAAAGGCACAGAATAGGGGAGGTGCGGGCCATAGGTAGCATTGGAAAAGGCAACATTCAATTGATTAAAAAGCATTGTTCAGAACCAGGTGCAGTATCTCAAGCCTGCAATCCCAGCACTTTGGGAGGCCAAGGCCAGATCACTAGAGGCCAGGAGTTTGAGACCAGTCTGGCCAACATGGTGAAACTGCATCTCTACTAAAAATACAAAAAAAAAAAAAATTTGCTGGGCGTGGTGGCACGTGTCTGTAATCCCAGCTCTTCTGGAGGCTGACACAAGAGAATCACTGAAACCTGGGAGGTGGAGGTTGCAGTGAGCCAAGATTGTGCCACTGCACTCCAGCCTGGGTGACAGAGTCAAACCGTGTCTCAAAACAAACAAACACAAACAAACAAACAAAAACAATGCATTATTCAGAAGGAACCAACCAGAAAAGAGCAGGCAAACAGGATAAAAGTGTTCTCACTCTGTGTCGCAGGCTTCATCTGGAGCCAGTAGTCCAACCTTCAGGGCTTCAGGCTGTTTTTGGCTGGAAGATGGGGTTTCACTGAGGACCCATCCCTATCTATCTAGGGAAGTGTCTACCTCCTGCTGCTATCAATTGCTCCTCTGAAGAGGTATATCTAATTCCCATTGGAGTAGGAATGTTGACAGCTCTTAACCGCTCCATGCTGACAGGGGCCATTGTTTTGGGAAGATGACATTCAGATATCTCAGAGGCTTATCCAAGGGTTCCCAGTCAAGGAAGCTTTTGTCTGAGGCTCCATTTGCATTACTGTTTGAAGTTTGATGGCCTGAAGGTGAGAAGAGACAAACCGGTTATTAGGAAACATGGATCAAAGGAAACAAGCAGGTAAGGACAGCCCAAAAATCCTGAGGCTGCCAGAATGCCCAGATAACTGGTGGCTATACTTATGCCTGCTAAGACTTTGGTGCATGGAGCTTGGCTTTGGTTAGCTACCTTGGTCTTATTTCCCCCTCAAAAAATCCTCTGCGTATGGGCCACTCCATTTACCCCCATCACCTAGCAGGATTTGCAGGATAATTGCCCAGAATTAGAATATTGATCCAGATTTTTACATTACCCATCACTTTTGTTTCTTCTGAGCTGCAGCCAAAGATCACGGATTGGTTCACAGGAATAAGCAGGGTTAGTCTGCTGAGACCAGCTCAATCGGGGAGACCCTAACCCAGTGGCGCTAGAGGAATTAAAGACACACACAGAGAAATACAGAGGTGTGAAGCAGGAAGTCAGGGGTCTCATAGCCTTCAGAGCTGAAAGCCTTGAACAGAGATTTACCCACGTATTTATTCACAGCAAGCCAGTCATTAGCATTGTTTTATTAACAGCAAGCCAGTCATTAGCATTGTTTCTATAGATATTAAATTAACTAAAAGTATCCCTTATGGGAGACGAAGGGATGGGCCAAATTAAAGGAATAGATTGGGTTAGTTAACTGCAGCAGGAGCATGTCCTTAAGGCACAGATCGCTCATGCTATTGTTTGTGACTTAAGAATGCCTTTAAACAGTTCTCTGCCCTGGGCGGGCAAGGTGTTCCTTGCCCTCATTCCGGTAAACCCACCACCTTCCAGTGTGGTCATTATGGCCATCATGAACATGTTACAGTGCTGCAGAGATTTTGTTTATGGCCAGTTTTGGGGCCATTTTATGGCCAGATTTTGCGGGGGGGGGGGCTTGTTCCCAACATGTCCCCCTTATTTGATTTGCAAATTGATAAAAGCAAAGGCAGCTTTGTCATGGTGAGCTACTTCTCACAGGAGTCAGGATCTGCATCTGCAGACTATACAAAGACAAACAACACAAATTAAAAGCACAATCTTTGAAATCACAGAGCTTCCAAGTGTTCATATCCATTTTAATGGGTTACTAGCTGCTAATCTGTCTGCAGCTCCTCCAAGCACTCCAGTTCCTGGCATTAAGGTCAGGTGTGCCTGGGATGCTTTAAACATTTGTTCTTTTAATTTTGCAATATCCAACGACAAGTTTGTAGAGTGTCCTTCTAGATGCTTTTTTTATTCTTTCCCAAATTTTGATCTTATTAAGAACTTTTACTAGTTTCCACAAATCCTTATGTTAAGCTCCTAGAGCGGGCCATATCATGTGAGATTGAGATACCACTATACCACCATGGTTCCAGATAACAGGAACTCTTGCCATACTTCTTGCCATTTCTACCATCTGAATGTTGTGTTCAGACCAGCTGAACATAGCGTGGCCATAGCATGCAGTCTGAGAGGTGCAATTTAAGCTAAACTTCCCCTTACGGGACCAATCAATAATGATTCCATAGGAATCATTGTGTAGCACCTCTGACTGTTCTGCAATGCAGTCTTCCTAAACAAACATGTTCATTTTTACTGGCCAGGTTCAATTTTGTTTACAAATAGGTTTTTGAGGGCAATATGCCTCAATTATAGGAGCAAATTTATTATGATAAATACTGAGATCAGAAATCATGTGTAACTGTGTCAGAGTGATTACATCTAGGTATTCTTGCCAGCCAAGATTGATAAATATGCCCAATAAGTGTAATTGTTCTCTGTGTCAGCCCTTGTTGAAGGAATACTCATGGCAATGGTGATCATCGCTATCATAGCTACCATTAAATTACTCATTGTGACTGGTTGTCCTGCTTTCCTCAGGTTTTCTTCCACCATCTGTGACAGCTTCTTGATCTGTCGCCAGGTGAGTGGCTGTGTTCAACGGGTGTTGCTTGTGACAGTTGGGGTCCTCCTCAGTGTCAGTCTCAACATGACTGCAACCGGGGGGTCCTTGGGATCCTCCCAGAATCTCTTCCTTGACATCTGGCTCATGATAAGGTTTCAGGTGTCTTGATGGTATCCAAATCAGTTGTTGATTTTGGCCTGGAGATACACAAGCATAACCTCTACCCCAAGTTATTATTTTACCTATTTCCCAACTTTTTTGTTATTGGATATCTCCACCAAATCAGTTGTTCCGCTTCTGTCTTTGCAGCTGGTTTCTGTAGATGCTGTTCAGCTGCTGATAACATCTGGCCTTTGGGCAGGCTCAAAAAATTTAAAATTAATAATGCTAGATTCAGTTGCATCAGTGGGGTTCCATATTCTCTATTTCCCCCTTTCTGCTTTTGCAAATGCTCTTTTAGGGAAAGATTCATTCTTTCCACTATGGCTTGTCCTTGAGAATTCTATAGGATACCAGTAATGTGTTTAATATTCCACATATAGAAAAATGGAGCCAGAGTTTGGCTAGTATAGCCTGGGGCATTATCTGTTTTAATAGAAGCTGGAATGCCCATCACCCAAATCACTGCAAAAGATGACATTTAACACAGGCAGAAGACTCTCTTAATTGGCATGTAGCTCAGACAAACTGAGAAAAGGTGTCCACACATACATGTACATAAGATAGTCTCCCAAATGAGGGAATATGTGTTACATCCATTTGCCAAAGAGAGCTAGGTTCAATTGCTTGCACTACATACATCTGGCAAATTGTTGGACTGTTTAACATGCCTTGTGGCATCACTTTCCAATGAAAACAATTAGGAGGCTGCAGGTTGTTTACTGCAGGATTTGTAAATGCAAACCGTTCACAGTCTTGCTCAGTTAAGGGGATATTAAAGAAACAGTCTTTTAAATCTATGACTATTAAAGGCCAATTTTTTGGAATTATAGCAGGGAAGGCAATGCTGGCTATAATGCTCCCATAGGTTGTATAACTGAATTGGTAGCTCTTAAGTCAGTTAACATTCTCCGTTTGCCTGATTTTTTCTTAATTACGAAAACTGGAGAATTCCAAAGGGAAAATGTTAGAGCTATGTACCCATTTTCTAATTGTTCAGTAACTAATTTCTCTAAAGCCTCAAGTTTCTCTTTACTTAGCAGCCATTGTTCTATCCAAAATTCCTTATCTGTTAACCATTTTAAATGTATAGGTTCTGGAACCTTAACAATGGCTGCCATCAAAAATGATATCCTAATCTTTGGCGAGAATTTTGTCTTTCCACTTGAAGCGGTTCTTTCAAATCTTGCAAATTTTTTTCTAGTCCCATACCAGTCCCATTTCATGCATTGTATGTTGACTTTGAGGGCTATATAATTGTTCTGGATGTGCTCCCCATTGTTGTAATAAATCTCTTCCCCATAAATTTATAGGTACAGAAGTTGTAATTGTTTGAATAGTCCCAGGTTGCCCATCGGGCCCTTCACAATGCGAAATATAACTACTTTGATATACTTCAGGGACTTTATCAACTCCAACTATGTTAAATTGAGTGGGTTGAATTGCCCACATGGACAGCCAGTGCTGTAGAGAAATGATTGAAATGTCCACTCCTGTGTCTACCAAACCTTTAAATTTATTTCCCTGAATAGTTATTTCACAGGTAGGACATTTATTAGTAATTTGATTTACCCAATAATCTGCTTTGCCTTGTTTATTTGTGCTTCCAAATCCTCCTGTTCGTTTAATTTCACTTTTCCCATTTCCACATATGGCACGATCAGGAGCTGTGCTATACTATCTCCTGGCTCTGCTTTCCAGAGAACAGAAGTAGATATAACAATTTGAATTTCCCCATTATAATCTGAATCAATGATTCCTGTATGTATTTGTACCCCTTTTAAACTTAAACTAGACCTTCGTAGAAGTAATCCTATTGTCTCCGCTGGCAAGGGTCCACAGATTCCTGTTGGGACCTTTTGCAGGGGTTCCCCAGGCTGAAGGCCCACAGTTTTCATGCAGCATAAATCTACTGCGGCACTACCGGCTGTGGCAGGAGACAGACATTGTACAGGGGTGAGGGAATGGCCTGAGCTGGAAATGCCCCAATTTAGAATGGGACCTGGGACAGGCCCCTCATGATGTTTCCCAAAATCAGGTTCCCTTCTTTATCAAACTTAGAGTGACACTGATTAGCCCAATGTTTTCATTTTATATTTTGGACATATTTCAGACTCAGCAGTTTTCTTTTTTCCCCTATCTGGCGGCCTGACTCTCTGATTATTTCTACATTCCTTTTTAGTATGAATAGCTTGTTTAAATTCTTTGAGTAATTTAAAAGGAAAAGGCAAATGTAGCTATAATATTTCCCTGTTGATCTGGGGGGGGGTGTATTCTGACAGGGAACTGCCAAGCCTCTAAATCACCCTCTCGTCTAACTTGCTGAATTCCTGCCTGAATAGAACTAAGAGCAGTCGCTCGAGACACTGCTCAAACAGTCACTGGGGCAACAGCTTTTCACCCAGTGTCCTCTGGAAAAGAAAGATCTGGAGGGTCTTTTTCTTTAAAATAATAATGAGGGGGTGCAGAAGGGTAGGGATGAACCTCTCCCTCCTTTGCCGCTTTAGCTTTAGCTGGCAAATAAACATACTCTGTAACCTCTTCTGTTACTTCGTTATACTGTCCCTCCTCATCATCAGTGTGAAAAAGTCCCAAGGTGGAACAAACTAGACCCCACACTTATCCCATTGTTACCCTGATGTTTCTGAGCTCCCCGTGTTACCATGGGGATTGCTTTAAGAGTGCTCGGGTGTCCTCCAGCTAGTTCCACGTTCTCCAACCTTCGCTCCAGTGACCCTTTGACCTGGATTTGAGCCCCCACAATGGACACCACTTGACGAGACCAGATCAGTCAGGGAGACCCTAACCCAGTGGCGCTAGATTAATTAAAGACACACACAGAGAAATATAGAGGTGTGAAGTGGTATATCAGGGGTCTCACAGCCTTCAGAGTTCAGAGCCTCTAACAGAGATTTACCCACGTATTTATTAACAGCAAACCAGTCATTAGCATTGTTTCTATAGATATTAAATTAACTAAAAGTATCCCTTATGGGAAATGAAGGGATGGGCCGAATTAAAGGAATAGGGTGGGCTAGTTAACTGCAGCAGGAGCATGTCCTTAAGGCACAGATCGCTCATGCTATTGTTTGTGGCTTAAGAATGCCTTCAAACGGTTCTCCACCCTGGGCAGGCCAGGTGTTCCTTGCCCTCATTCCCGTAAACCCACAACTTTCCAGTGTGGGCGTTATGGCCATCATGAACATGTCATAGTGCTGCAGAGATTTTGTTTATGGCCAGTTTGGGGGCCAGTTTATGGCCAGATTTTGGGGGGCTTGTTCCCAACATTAGTATACATTGTAGACAAAAAGTTTAAAACAACTAATGAGACTACAGTCTAATAGTAGATGTACCATAACATTTGAAACATAATTTTTTTTTCTCCTGTTCTCATTTTTGTTAAAAACAAATCATGATAGGACTGATTTGTTTCCAAATTAACTGAGGTCTTATTATACTTGGCCTGATTATTAGCATAAAGCAAAGAAGAATAATTGTTTTCACATTGGCTTTTTAAATTGACTTTGATGGAACTCTTTTCCATAAGGAATCTCAGATAAGACTTTTTAAAACTGAGCCCAGCCATAGGTTTGTATTCTCAACTACCTATGAGTTGGGTAAAGTCCTCTCCTTTTGAGGTTCCAAAATAACTTGGGGCCCTCGCACCTGTTAGAAAGTGACATTCTTTACTCAACACAGGTTAGGAACCCTGTACAAGGACTGTGTAGACAAGGTGTGAGGCCAGTTTTCCTAAGGGCTTTTATTGGCTTTATAAGTCAAGGTTGATTCCTTAAAAGGAAGCACATCCTTATAGTCAAAGCCTTAGTAAAATAACCAGTTTCTGCAGTTGCATCGTGTTGCAAAAGAAAATGAATTCTTATTGCACTTATGCAAATAACTATATTGCCGTAAGTTAAGAATACTCACAAATAGTTTCCAAATTCTGGAGGAAGCAGGCAGAGAGAAACAAATATGCTACACATTTTGTTCACAGGAGTATATTTTACTCAATTGTCAAAAGCTGTAAATAGCTCAAAAATAAAAGTTTTCCTGACTCTGAAAAATAAAGGATCAGCAATGTTTTAGGAAAAAAGTTAAGAAAGATTACTTCATCTTCTATTAGCTCAATCTATTCAGTCAATACTTGTTCTGCTTGATATTCATGAATATTTCAGCTCTTCATGAGTCCTGAACATTTTTCCCCTACTCTAACGTCACAGTCTCTAAAGTTATCAGAAACCCGCATTAGAAAGCACCTGTCAAAGTCTTGTGGCTGATTATAAACCATGTTTTGAAGAGGATCAACACAAGACAACAGTTGTCTGTGAAAGATAAAATGTCTTAGGGTAGTCACAGTCAGAAACATAATTGACAAAGAAATCTGGTTATTTTTTGTGGTGTGCAATAACTTAACCTAATAACTCTAACTATGATTGATAGCATATACTCAGATATTGGAATCTTAGAAATCCCAAACAATTTTGGAACATATATTATTATTCACTAAAATATAACCTGAGAGGATTAAACATTATTTTTATTTTGACAGTGTCATGTAACTAAACATGTCAAATAATCCTGTTTACTTCTCTTTTGGATGCTCCAATGGCCTTCTGTAGTATCCCAAATTTTGGGGTCAGAAAATACTATTTCGAAGCTGAAATTTGATTGTTGGAAACCTATCAAACATGTTAAAGGTTTAAAACGCATGATGTTATTAAATAGAATTCCACATTACCATAAATCATTTATTTAGCCAAAATGATGACTCAAAAACTTTTAAAAAGTCAAAACCTTTACTTATGAAGAGGGAAGACTTAGCTTTCCAAAGAATCTGTCCCTTCTCTTTCCCTTCCTTTTTGTTAGATTATTCTCAAGGCAAACAAAAACTTTTCATTATCCTATAATATTACATAAAAATATTTTTCAAGATAGTGAATGCCACATTTCACCCTTGCATTAGTCTACTGTTAAGGTCAACCCAGATTTTTAAATGAAACCTTATAGACAAATCTAATTTTAATCACTTTGACCATAAGGTGAGATTCTTGTAAACTTTTTATAACTCTTTACAAATTTTTGTTAAAGAGCAAATCAGTGCCTTAAGAAAACATTTTTGTGCTTTTATTCTAATGCACAATTTATGGAAAGAACAAGTAATCCCCTTTGTTTTTAGTCAATATGTTCACACACAGAATTTCTTTTACAAGATTAATTTTTACAAACCTTCCACAACTTGTTTAAACTTTTAGCTTTATGTTATCTAATTTAAAACAATCCTTTAACCCTCTAAATAAGGCAAAAATTTACATTGTCATGTATTCTCATAATCTTTTACGAAAAACACATTTTATTTTCCTTACAAACATCACATGTAAATCTATTTTCAGTAGTCTCAATTACATGATATAATGGTAACTCTTAGCAATTTTTAATTTTGGTGTGAACCCTGTTAAGTTTTTTAAATGTGTACTAGGTACACATCACGTCTGATACTTTCCAGCCTAGAGACATGGTTAACTCCACATGTCCAAAGGCTTAATGAAACTGTAAAGCAGGCAATTTGAACAATTTTTGAAAGTCAAAGAATCAGTTTATGACCTTAAAGCATTTAGCAAACCCAGTGTCTGACCTGCATAATTTAGACCACATGTCTACATTTTGAAGATATTTTTATTTTACCAATAATCTTTACAGCTGTTTTTATTTCTCAAAGATTAAAGTCACATAACTAAAAGGCAATAAATCTTTAATTATTCTTTTAAAAATATTTTATCTCATCACTTATTTTTTAAGCCAATTAATTAGAACTCTTTTATATAAACATTGCACACATAACACATATAAAACAACACAGACATACAGAAGAAGATCCAGTAGTTGTAAGAGCTTTCATTTGCCTTCAATTTTGAGTGGGATTTATCCAATTTCAATTCCTTCATGGGGCTCCATGAAGAAAACAGAGTTATTTTTCTTCCAAAACGGGGTCTCTGGAACCTCCCCCATTTTCCTAAGGAGTCCCAGGCTATCAGAAATTATCTTAGGGCCTCTCATGTGTACATTAAGAGTGGCAAGACAAAATGGAGAAAAATAATTTAGTTGACTCAGAAGAAAAAATAATAATATTTTTCCAGAAAAATAAGATCCAAAAAGAGAAAAGAAAGGAAGACCTTTTAAATACAGCTATAGTTTGAATATCAACTTTTTATTAATCTGACTTTTAATCAGAGCACTCTTTTTTTAAAAAAAAAAATCCTTTTAAATATGTTACCCGACCTTAGACACATCAAATGGCAGCCAGTGCTTCTGGCTTTTGAACTTTACCAAAAGTAACCTCACAGATAAAACTGATAAGCATTAAACAAAGGTTATGACTTAACTACAAGTGTATGTGGTATTTTCAAGGAGGAAGTAAGCAGCTTCTACAAGATTTAGAATCTACAAAAATAGCTCAGAGAAAGGAAAATTCAAGAAGTGAGATTGGGAGTTGATCATGGAGGGGAAGAGACTACAGTGATTTTTATCATTCCTACAACCAGTTTGCACAGAAAAAAGAGAAGCCAGAAGTCCAACTAGTAAGAATTTTTACCCTTTTGTGGATATGTCAGGCTTCTGGGTTCCCTCCCCCTGGGCCCTATTGACCCTGGAGTCCTATGAAGGCAAAGCAGTCAAAGAGGTTATCTGCATACTGTAAAAGTTGTCCCTCCTCAAGAGATTGTTCAGTTAGATTTGTAAATTATTTCTAGTTCATTTTTAAGCCAAGCAGTTTTATGTTTGGGGAAATCAAACTTCTCTCAGTTTGGGGGATGCATCTGAGGAGTGTCCTGTGGTACAGAGATGCAGTTACCATCTGTGAAGAGAGAACAGAGGAGGAAAAAGAAAAGGGTTTTATTATTATTATTATTATTATTATTATTATTTTTTTTTTTTTTTTTTTTTTTTTTTAATTTCCAGGAGTCTGTGGGTCAAATGATTCCCGGTGACTCACGGTGCACTTGAGAGGAGTGCAGGCTGAAGACAGTTGATTACACATCTAGAAAGATGGGAAAAAAAGAGTCTTTTTGTTCCTTTCTCTTTTCAGAGAAAACCTGGGGTACATGAGGGAGAGAAAAATGGCATTTCTTTTTTTGCTCTGTTCTTTCCTTCCCTGAGTCCTGGCAGCCACTATTGGGTGCCAACTATGTGTGCCAGTGTGACATTCACCCATGAAACAGCGAGGCCTACGTAGAGAAGTATTCACACTCATCTACTTGGTTCCTAAGCCTCCCGCTGTCAGTAACCTTTCACTTCCCTAGACCTCATCTATTCTATGGATGCTAGCATGACCTCTAACCATGAAGTGGAGGGCCTATTCGGCAGGAATAAGTTATGCTCCCCTGCACTGTGCCCCTAGACTTCCACTGTCATCTGCCTCTGGGTCCCTCAGATCTAGTCTTTGTGTTTAGGTCTTCAAACTGAAGCTTGAAATTGAATTTGGAACAAATGGTGCCTCAGGAGGGTGTATGGACCTGTTAAATTAGTCCCAAGAGGCCCTTGCCAAGTTGCAGCCAGCAACCACTGAGATAACTCCTCTGTTGCTTCCCTATCATAAGCAGAATGCTAAGGTGAAGCTGTGAAACCAGGTACTCAACAAACAAGGGAGAGAAAGGGAGTCCCAGGAATTGGGGACCTGGCCTAGTAAAATCCCTCTCAAGAGGAAAAATAACTAACCTCTCACATAGAAAAACTCACTTTATTCACAGGACTATGTTAACTCATGACATGGTGGAGAAAAAGAAACAACTTATCTCCAGGGGAGGGGAAGGTGCCTGAGGGGAAAAAGCCTCTTACTTTATGCAAATAGATTCTTTTTTTTTTTTTTAATTATACTTTAAGTTTTAGGGTACACGTGCACACTGTGCAGGTTAGTTACATATGTATACATGTGCCATGCTGGTGCACTGCACCCACTAACTCGTCATCTAGCATTAGGTATATCTCCCAGTGCTATCCCTCCCCCCTCCCCCCACCCCACAACAGTCCCCAGAGTGTGATATTCCCCTTCCTGTGTCCATGTGATCTCATTGTTCAATTCCCATCTATGAGTGAGAATATGTGGCGTTTGGTTTTTTGTTCTTGCGATAGTTTACTGAGAATGATGCTTTCCAATTTCATCCATGTCCCTACAAAGGACATGAACTCATCATTTTTTATGGCTGCATGGTATTCCATGGTGTATATGTGCCACATTTTCTTAATCCAGTCTATCATTTTTGGACATTTGTGTTGGTTCCAAGTCTTTGCTATTGTGAATAATGCCGCAATAAACATACGTGTTCATGTGTCTTTATAGCAGCATGATTTATAGTCCTTTGGGTATATACCCAGTAATGGGATGGCTGGGTCAAATGGTATTTCCAGTTCTAGATCCCTGAGGAATCGCCACACTGACTTCCACAATGTTTGAACTAGTTTACAGTCCCACCAACAGTGTAAAAGTGTTCCTATTTCTCCACATCCTCTCCAGCACCTGTTGTTTCCTGATTTTTTAATGATTGCCATTCTAACTGGTGTGAGATGGTATCTCATTGTGGTTTTGATTTGCATTTCTCTGATGGCCAGTGATGATGAGCATTTTTTCATGTGTTTTTTGGCTGCATAAATGTCTTCTTTTGAGAAGTGTCTGTTCATGTCCTTCGCCCACTTTTTGATGGGATTGTTTGTTTTCTTCTTGTAAATTTGTTGAGTTCATTGTAGATTCTGGATATTAGCCCTTTGTCAGATGAGTAGGTTGCAAAAATTTTCTCCCATTTTGTAGGTTGCCTGTTCACTCTGATGGTAGTTTCTTTTGCTGTTCAGAAGCTCTTTAGTTTAATTAGATCCCATTTGTCAATTTTGGCTTTTATTGCCATTGCTTTTGGTGTTTTAGACATGAAGTCCTTGTCCATGCCTATGTCCTGAATGGTAATGCCTAGGTTTTCTTCTAGGGTTTTTATGGTTTGCAAATAGATTCTTTCAAGAGGAAAAAGAAAGCTCTTGATTGTTATATTCTTCTGTCTTCTAAAAATAGACGGAAACCACATTGTTGGGGATTTCATCCCTGATGACTGAGCCAAGTACTCATTTTCACCAGTAATATTATCTCTGTGGTTTGCAACACCACCCTTAACATTGTATGTAAAGAAGAGATGGAAAGCATGACAGCCACACAAAAACAAGTTGGAAAGTGTGATAGAAAACACTGGGGGTCTTGATGCTGACACCCTAATGGGTGATTGGGGACTGGAGTCAGTTGATGTGCCTATGGATAACATGGAGATGTAGCCTCGGCAAGATACCAGATACCCTCAGTTGCCCCAGGACCTCCTTCCATTCCAACATAACAGCTAGACCTCCTTCAAAAGGAGACTGGATTGAAACGAAGCCATTATCCCCAATACCCAGGGTTGATGGGGGTGTGGAGGGTTAACAAAATTATCCCCAGCAAGCCTGTCCTCTGCAGCTGCATCATTCAGCCTTAATTGGCTGACAGAGATCTGGTGCTTTATCTGCCTTCAGAAAAAAGTCTGAGGACAAGACGCCTTAGAAATGAAAGTGAAAGTGTTTTAGGTTCACACTTACTCACCCTTCCACAGATCCTGGACAAGCCCCCAAAAGTAATGCAGGATTTTGGCGGTGTTGCTTCACCAGCTGCAGACCTCTGAAACCAGCAATGCCTCTGCCCAGGGCCTTGCTTGGCTCTGGTCTCACTGCTCAAGTTACCCTGCCCACTTGTCCAGCAGGTTGCCATTGTCTTGTGCCCTGGCCCAGATCCCACACTCATTGTGGAATCCATATTCAGTCTGTGGCTGGGCTGGGGATGCCATGACCTGCTTCTGCCTTGGGAACCAGCATCTGGACAAACGGAATAAGGAAGTGCCCAAAAAACTCAAGACACGTCAGAAACCGTGGAACTCCAAAAAGGGTGTTACAGTGTGTCACAGCTCTGTCTCAGGGAGCCCCGAGGTCTGGGGCCCCAGAAGAGTCATAGGTCTTCTTTCCTTCCTACCACTCACAGCTCAGTGAATAGGGGGAAAGGGGCATATTTCAGTCCATTTGCATTACAGCTTGTTCAATCTCACTGTCCCACTGTGGCTCATGGCTCCTGGGCTGGCCTGGCCCTGCCATTGCTTCCTGTTACATGAAGCAGCAGTCCGGTGCTGGCACAGGGCTACAGTGTTACAGGCTTTTTCATATCCACCTTTGGTGGGTCCTGAGTTCTTGTCCCATGTCCAAGAAGAATGAGGTTACACTGACAACCAGAGGGTGAGCAGGATGGAGAGTTTTCTTGAGCAATGGAATAGTTCTCAGCAGAGAGAGGACCTGTACTGGGCAACCCACTATCTGAAGTTGGGTAGCTCTCAAGTGTAGCTGAGTTTGGGGTTTTTCATAGGCACAGAATTGGGGAGGTGTGGGCCATAGGTAGCATTGAAAAAGGCAACATTTGATTGATTGAAAAGCATTATTCAGCAGAAACCAATCAGGAAATACTAGGCAAACAGGATTAGAAGTTCTCACTCTGGGTCGCAGGCTTCTTCTGGAACCAACATCCAGTCTTCAGGCTTCAGGGTAGGGTTTCACCAGGGACCTGCCCCTATCTGCCTTGGGATTTGTTTGCCTCCTGCCACTATCAATGATTGAAGCAGAGATCATAGAGAGAAAAATATTTGAAGATACTATACTGTTGTCTTTGAAGATGGAGGAAGGGAACACAGACCATGAAGTTTGAGCAGCCTCCAGAAGCTGGAAAGACAAGGAAACACATTCTCCTCTCAAGCTTCCAGAAGAGCATTGCATTAGTTTCTTCTCATACTGCTATGAAGAACCACCTGAGGCTGGGTAATTTCTGAAGAAAACATATTTAATTGACTCACAGTTTCACAGGCTGTACAGAAAGTATGACTGGGAGGACTCTGAAAATTTACAATTATGTCAGAAGGTGAAGAGGGGCAAGCACACCTTAGCATGAAGAGCAGAAGAGAGAGAGAGAGTACAAAGTGGGAAGCACCACACACTTTCAAACAACAAGATCTTGTGAAAATTCTGATGAAAATAGAAAAAGCAAAGTCCACTCCCATGATTCAATCACCTCCTACTAGGCCCCTCATTCAACAATGAAGATCACCAACATAAGATGTGGGTAGGGACACAGATCCAAACCATATTATGAGTATAGCCCTGCTAACCCATTTCATACATTTGACCTCCAGAGCTGCAAGATAATGTGTTTGTTGTCTTGTTGTTGTTGTTTGAAGCATTAAGTTTAGAGTGTATATTCTAAAGCAGCAATATGAAATTAATAAACATTTAAAATACATTCCAGCTCCCATGTCAGAAAGTCCTTTCTGCAATTCTACAGAAGTATTCTCCCACCCCTGTCTTCACTTTATATGCTGCCTTCATGATCGTTGGTACAATCTATAACTGTTTTGACCGTGAGTCTCTTTATTAGTATTAACGTTGTTTCTCCAAGTAGAATGTAAGTTTCAAAAGACCAGGGACCATATTGTCTTGTTCACATTTGTATTTTCAGTGCCTGGAGAGTTCAATAAATAAGAAATTTGAAGATCAAAAAAAAAACCACAAATAATTAATAAGTACCTGGTGAAAAACAAAAGGCTAGGACCTTTGCATTTCCTAATTCCAAGTTTAATTTTTTTTGCATTTTTTCCTTTATGCTCCAAATCTCTGTGGTCCTTCCAGTAAAACTCCTCATACACCTTGATTATAACTATACTTTCATGACTCACTGTGTTCTTTTATGCTGACTGAGCTGCCTGTGCCACCATCATTGCTTGTGCAATTTATGCATAATGGAATGAACATGGGCTTTGTAGCCTGGAACCTAATTCCCAATTCCAGTTCCAGAATCCCTTTAGGAGGTGACCACTATGGACTTTTCTTCACATATTGAAAACAAAACAAAAACAACCATTAACAAGAGTTGCCTTTTTAAGTTCTTGTGAAGATTAAGATATTATTTTACCAAAAAAACTTAGTGTCTGACGAAGCCAATGTTTTATAAATTATAATCTTCTAAAAAACCTAGATGAAATATTACTTTTTCGTTGTATCTAGGTGACTTTTCAGTCAACTTTTTCTGCTTTTTTTATACAACATATTCATTATATGGAATTAATTGCAATCTGGAGAAAATATGACTTGAAGTCAGTAGGTATATGCTCAAATTCACTTGCTAGTTTTGATTTATTTGGCTATAATTCAAGCAGTTAAACTTCTATATCTTTGTCTATAAAACTAAGATGATAAGAGCTAAATCAGAAAGTGTTATAGAAATAAACAAGTTATTCAATCAAAGTAATTAGCACTTTCATATTTCACAAATATGAAATAGCCTTTGAGCTATTTCATGTTTGTTCACTGTGCTAACTGGTAGATCTCCTTCCCCACTACCTCAATTTTATAAGTGACATATAAAAATGTATATATTTAAGGTATAAAACATGTTGTTTTGATACACATATATATTGTGAAATGATTGCTATTAACTACCTAGATAACATATCCATTACCTTACATAGTTACCTTTGTGTTTGTGTGTATGTATGTGTGTGTGTGCATGTGTATGTGTGTAGTTAAACCATTTAATACTGACTTAGCAAATTTCAAGTATATAATGCAATATTATTAACTATGATTATCATGCTGTATATATAGCACATTTTCTTTATCCACACATTTGCTGATGAACGCTTGCATTGATTCTATATCTTGGATTCCGCAAATAATCAATCTCATTGCAAGAAATCAATCAGTTGACAGATATATAAAGTCAAAAGTTAAAGTTACAACTCTTCTAATTTCCTGCATTTTTTAGGGGGTAGCCATGGTGAAAAATACAGAATGAGGTTCGAATATTTACTACCAATCTTGTTCATTCTATCATATCCCATTTTAAATGTTTTTCTTTTGAAAATGTAATTAAAAACA